>NC_000006.12:157798062-157949577 GCF_000001405.40 Homo sapiens | reverse complement strand
CCAATTGGGATGCTTTTTCTTTCTCGTCATAGCTAGGCTGTGTTAAGTAGTGAAAGTGAGCATCCAGATCTTAGGGGAAAGGCTTTCAGGTTTTTCCCATTTAGTAATGATACTATCTGGGGGTGTGTTGCATATGGCTTTTATTATGCTGAGGTATGTTCCTTTTATCCCTTTTTAAAGGGTTTTTTTTTTTTTATCATGAAGGGATGTTGAATTTTGTCAAATGCCTTTTCAGCATCAATTGAAATGATATGATTTTTATCCTTCATTCTGTTTCGATAATGTATCACATTGATTTGTTGTGATACATTACAAATGTTGAACCATCCTTGCATCCCAGAGATAAATCTCATTTGGTCATGATGAATGATCTTTTTAATGTATTGTTGAATTCGGTTTGCTAGTATTTTGTTCAGGATTTTTGCATCAACATTCATCAGAGATATTGGCTTGTAGTTTTCTTTTTTTGATGTGTCTTTGTCTGGTTTTGATATCAGGGTAATACTGGCCTAGTAGAATGAATTTGGAAGTATTCCCTCCTCTATTTTTTGGAGTAGTTTGAGTAGGTCTCCCTATGTTTTACAACTATACTTTAAAAATACTTTGTCTTTTCAGAATCAAACCTATAAAAATTCTTATGAGAAAACACATGGAGAAATCTTTATGATAGACCTTGTAGACATCATGCTAAGTGAACTAGGTCAGTCATAGAGAATATATATCAACTAATTCCACCTATGAGGTCCCTAGAGCAGTCACAGTCACAGAGACAGAGAGTAGAAGGGTGGGTGCCAGGGTGGAGACGAAGTGGGGAATTACTGTTTAATGGGTATAGGGTTTCAGTTTGGGAAGATGAAAAAGGTCTGGAGATGGATGATGGTGATGGTTACACAACAATGTAAAAGTACTTAATGCCACAGAACTGTGCACTTAAAAATGGCTAAAATGGTACATTTCATGCTATGTATATTTTACAATAAAATAAAAAAATCTTTGTCTTAATTACCCCATGACGATGGTGCATTAGTGCTCACTGATGTAGTCAGAAATAAAAGCTAAAGAAAAATTTCACATCTAAATGTCCAACTCTTGGAAACTGGTATATAGACTTATGTGTAGGGTCATTATGAAGACTGCCATAGCATGAAAAAAACACAAAGAAAGCACAGATAAAGGATACAAAATTACATGAGACCACAATAATCAACCAATTTACATAAGAGAGATTCCCAATAGCCAAATTTGGGACAAATGAGGATCTAAAAATTATGTGTGTAAATAATTGTAATACATGGAATAACAGAAATCCATGCCTCCGTAAGATACTGAAACAAGGGAAAAAGAGCATCTGCCACCTTTGTAGGTGACTCTGTCAGGGTCACCTAGGGGGACACTTGGGAGGCAGGCCTTGGGAGTCTGTTTCAGAGGTGCTGCCCCTGGCCTGGAACCATGTCCCTGCTCTTCTCTAAGTGATGTAGGGAGGGTCCCGCAGGTGGGAAGGGCTTTTGGATGCATCTGTTTTCATCCCTGCACGCTGGAGATGAGTAGACAGCAGCTCACTGACTCGTTCAAGTGACAGGTATTGGCATCAGAGTTAGGACTCTTGGTTCCTGACAATTCAAATATCTTTACATTACCAAGTGTTTCTTCACTGGAAGGAAAGTCTCCAACCTTCTGACGATTCCCACATCCCATAGTATAAGCAGGAAATGAGATTTGTATGTGGAAAGGCAAATCAGTGCCTGGTTCGTAGCCGGTACTAATGAACGTTTAGTCAACACGTGATTTGGGAAACCAAATCTAACAGCTTAAATTTTTTTGGATTATAATACAACCTCATTGTAAAAAAAATTCAGAAAAACACGACTTTATAACAAAGATCACTCCTAATTACACCCCCAAAGAACAAATGGAGAAGCTGAATCCTTAATAGCCCATGGCCTACCTCCTAGCCCCAGTTCTGCATTTTTAGAGATTTCCCTGTCACTCTATTTCTGGGCCTCTTAGATTTTATTGATAATGGCTTTTTATCCTTATCCACAGGCATTTGAGCTCCTTCTGAATGTACCTGAAAATACCTATTGACCACAAGGCAAATAGCAGTTGTCTGCTTTAAAGCAGGGCTTCTCAACCTTGACATTACTGATGTTTTGGGCAGATAGTTCTTTATCACGGAGGCTGTGCTGTGCACTGTAGGATCCACTAGATGACAGTAACACCCCTCAGTAACTGTCTCCAGAAACAGCCAAGTGAGTCCTGGAGAGCACAAGTACTTCTGGTGGAGAACTACTGTTTTAAGGACAACTGATGGAGCTACCTGTTCCCTGCAGCCTTGGACATTTAGTGGTGGCAGCCACCTACGCCCATGCTCACCACCACCTCGTACCCAGCAGAGCAGTCCTTTCCAGCTTGCTGGCAAGCTAGCATGTTTTCAGTACAGCCAGTGGCTTCTCTCCAGAATTAATGACTTCCCCTAAGCCCACCTCTTGGCCTCCCTCACCCAGCACTAGGTACCTCCTCCTCTCAGAGTCGAGCCAGGTGGGAAGTTCCCCAACCTTTGAAGAATAGTGCTTCGACAGAGTGGTTCTTTCAAAGCTCACATGGTTCCTGGAGTCAAGCTCACATGACCTCACTCTCATTCTGTCTTCAGAGTTCTACAAATCCTACAGAATGATTCACTGGACTTGGCAATTTTTTCTAAGATATGGATCCCACCCAAAGACCTCTGAGCTTATTGTCAAGTCAGAAACGAAGCCATCCTCTCCCCATGGGGATTCATGGTCTTCAGACAACCTTGCTTTTTGTCCGTTGAATTGCCAATGGCATTCAAAACATTCTCATTTCTGCTTTGATGAAATCTCAACTTGCTTGTTCTTTTCTACTGTATGCTGACGGGGTGTGAAAGACCATTCCTCATCTTCCAACAGTCTAGGCTAGTGTATGTCTTTTTGGTGGCCTTATTCATTTATTCTGTCATTTAAAAAATGTTTTCTTACAAAAGCACCTGCTGGGTCAGGGATTTGATGTTGCCCTACTTACAAGCAAACGTCTGTTACTGTTCCATGGATACTGGCAGGGGACATGAGACAGTCTCCTGGGTCAGGGGCAAAGGACTTGATAAGCCATGACACAGCAAGTAACACAAACTCCAGTTCTCCTTGCCCTGCCAGTCCCCTGGTGGAACCTTGAGTGGCCAGAGGGTGCCTGCTCAGACAGTGGGTTTTTAGAGGAGGACCTGGAGCTGGAAAACCCACTGTTTTACAGCAAGCAGCAGGCAAGCCCATACTCCTTCCAAAACATGACCTTGTCCCTCAAGTAGCTTGCTACAGATGCAGTGTGGAGGGGCGGCCTGGGTGAAGAGCAGTCAGGGCTCTGTGTTCTTGACATAGCCAGCAAAAAAGCCAGGTGGAGTGCGAGAGACCCACGGAAAATATTCTCCCAAAAGGGGAACTCATTCTTCCTACTTGCTTGCGGAAAGGGATTTAAAATCGAACAGGTTGGGAAAATTGAGTTACACACACACAGGAAAAACAGGGCCATTCTCACCCATCACTGTTCAGTTCTGCTCAGCCATCACACCTTTTTTACTTTGACTACTTTATAGACTGTGAGGTTGGGTGTGGTGGCTCATGTCTGTAATCCCAGCACTTTTGGAAGCTGAGGTGGGCAGATCACCTGAGGTCAGGAGTTCAAGACCAGCCTGGCCAACATGGTGAAACCCCGTCTCAACTAAAGATACAAAAAAAATTAGCCACGCATGGTGGTGTGCGCCATGGGAGGCTGAGGCAGGAGAATCCCTTAAACCAGGAGGCAGAGGTTGCAGTGAGCTGACATCATGCCACTGCACTCCAGCCTGGGCCACAGAGTGAGATTATCTCATAAATAAATAAACAAGACTGTGAGATTCTGGATTCCCAGTTGTTAGGCAGGGATCTATGGATTTAGTGAAGATGTAGACCAGTGGTGCCGGGAGAGGCTGCCATGCACAGCCTGTCAACGCTGCCCACCGGGGGCGGGGGGATGGGGGGTGCCCACAGACCATCTCCCTGGGACTGAAGCCCATGACAGAAGTAGATCATGCTGTCTCTTCTCTATGTGAGTAGACCCACGAGTCTCATGGCCCCTTCCAGTATCCATGGAACAGCAACAGACTAAATTACTTGCTTGTAAGTAGGGCAACATCAAACCCCAGACCCAGCAGGTACTTTTGTAAGAAAACATTTTTAAAATGACAGAATAAGAAAATGAATAAAGCTACCACAAAAGAAAGAAAGTGAATAAAGTCACCAATAAGAAAATGAATCAAGTTACGTTGTTCCACCCAGTGCCTCTGTGAGTCATCTTTCTTGGTGACCCCAACACCTACAAACCATGCAGTGGGTTGACATCCCGGGACTGCTGCTCCTGGTGGGAGGCAACTGACGTCACTTGCTTGACAACGAGACTGACCTTTTCTTCCACCACGCCTTCATCTCTCCTCTCCAAATACTGACTTTTTTTCCACTATATTTGTAAAAGTTATGTGATTGTATGACTACAGCTCTTCTGTGGTACCTACAGGTTGATACAAATCATTAAAAATCAAAACATCAACGTATCTAAGAACCAAATGGTGCATGTGACTCCCCGGAGAAGGATATATATGCCATGTTGCCACTTGAAGGAGAATCTTCCAGGCATCAAATCCCGTGGATTCTCTTATTTTCTTTCACATTCCCTCTGCTTTTCCTCACAGTCGGCTACCACGCTCTGAGGAGCCCGTGCCATCTCCATTTCCCCCATCCCTTTTTCACTTTGCCTCACACCAGTCAAATCCAAATATCCGAGAGTCAGACACTGGGAGACTGTCTGCTTCTTGGCAACTCCCAGGTGGTTATGATACGCTTCCCGGACCGCAACACTGACCTACGGAACTGAAATGATGAATTCATGTCAGAAGAAATAGGATTTGGGGAAGAATTCATTACCTGGACCATTTTCAGCAGCTGGAATAAAAAGTACTTAACAACAACAACAAAAATCACACACAAAGTCCAAAAAGTGTTTTGAAAAAGTGCTTTGAGAATTTACTGTACAGTTTTTTTAAACAATTTATTTATATGTTGGCTTCTACATGCTCTTACATTCGTGTAAAACATTTATACATATTCTTTACAATTTGTACATATATTAAATGGCTATAGCATAAACATTGTTCTATGGGATTTTATAGAAGAAAAATCAAGTGGGGAGAATTACTTATGAAACATTAACAAAAACCCGTGATATTGAAGAACAAGATGTTCTCATATTCATTTGATTTCATCTACTTATTTTTGGTGTCATTTTATTGATGCTGGCCCAGACTTTCCATTTCCCGTAATTATTAGGTCAGAAAAATGAAAGCAGCGGGAGGGAACGCGGTAAGGCACCTGTGGGAGACGGGAGCGCTCCTCCGCAGGGGTGAGACGGTGGCTGCCAGTGTTGAGTTCGAGCTGACGGTGTGCCAAGGTCCTGTTTTGCTTTATGCCGTTAAGTGAAGCGCTGGAAGTGCTGGTGCTCAGAAACACCCTGTGTGAAGTTTCGGATGTAGTCGGGAAGGGCGCTGGTCTGTTCTTTCTCTCCAACCTCAGAGCGCCGGGGACTCTGTACACTGCTGAGGCTGCAGCCCTTCTCAGTCCCTACACTTTTCCATCTAATGGGGAGCTAACCTGTGCTTTTTCTCTTTGCTGATGACACCAACTGGCCATGAACCCGCCACCCAAGCCAAGCAGTGTGCCGTGGCCACAGCAGCGCTTCTCATCACGGTGGATGAGGAGCCAAAGAATAAGAAAGGGCCAGAGACGCCGGGGTGCTGGGTGCCCTCCTTCTCCCAGGCCCTCCCGAACACAGGCCTCCGCACAGCCACTCACCCGTTGGACCAAAGCCACAAAATTCTCTACAAAGTCCCTCAATTCTTCTAATGTATTCTTCATGGCATAAAACATGCCTTAACCAAGATTAGGAAGGAAGTGCAAAGAGAGAAAGCACTGGTCCTCACATAAGAGCAGCACATCAGAAATGTCGCTGAGGACATGGGTGGCCAGGGGTATCTGCTCATCTGCCAGGCTGTGGGGTCCCCCTGGAGGGACATGGGATGGCCCACCTGCCACACACCACGATGGCACTAGCAGCCCCAGGGGCCCCCAGCGTCCTCCCTCTTGAAGTGTAAGCACTTGAGCTGTAACTGTGGCAGTGAAAGGCGTAACGACTTCCCTCAATGACAGGAGCCCCAGAGGACTGAAAGGAGTTATAAAAATATACAAACATAGATATTTTTTATTCTGGCATAGTTCATGTTTTTAAGAAAGTAATTAGTAATTAATTATCTGACACTGGGTAAGAACTGGAAGATTGTGGGAGACTTATAAATTATATAAGACTTATAATTTATAAGACATATAAATTATGACTCTATGTAAAATATCAGTGGGGAGAAACCCCTCATTTTCCATTGAAAATTCTGGTAACTTTTAAGTACTTTCCAAAAATAGAGACAATTTCCACTGGTTTAAATAATGGATGCGGAAATGAACAAAAGACCATCCCTAAATAACTGACGCATTTAGGGTGGCTAATAAAATAAATGCAGTTTTTTGCAACTCTTTCTTTTTGGTTTTGTTTCCTTTTTTTTCTGAATAATAGGGGAAAAAAAGTTTTGAATTGCATTGCCCCAAGTCAGGAGAAAGCACGCGGCATTCTCTTCAAGGCCCGTTCTGTCCTACATCACTGGAAAGCGGCTGAGGGCCTGCCTCAGCTTTTCTGCAATCTGACAAGAAAGCAAAACAAAACAACGTTGAGATATCACTCCCATTACGACCTCACAGTGTTCTTTATTCACAACTCCAACAAGTTAAACATGACACAAATTCCAATTCTTTAACTGGTCTTTTTGGCACCAGCCCTGCCCCGCGTTGCTGCTGGACAGACCTTAACCCCGAATGACACCGGCAGCGCTGGGGCCCGAGCTGGCCCTGGTGGTCCCTTCCCGCCGGGAGGCGTCTACACATGCTCCCCACCTCTGCCCTAGCGGCGCTTCCAGACCACCTGCTTTTCCTCAGATGAGCTGGGGGCTCAGGCCTTCATGTTTGCCTAGAGCCCCCTCTTTCCTGGAGGAGTATGAGCTTCCAGAATCCCCTGAAGGTTGTGTCGCCCTGGCCACACCCTGCTGTCACTGCTGAGTGTGCAGACAGCACGAGCCTGCCTGTGAAGCTAACGAGGCGCTGCAGTGGTCTCTGCGCCAGGGCCTCTTGCTCCTTGAAGGCACAGCTGTCTTATCCATCCCTGGATGCTAAACATCCAGCACGAGGGCTTGGTATATAAGAAACACTCAATATATGTCTGCTCCATGAACACATACACAAATTTTAGTAACTTAAGGGTTACTTTGCCATAAAACTTAGATCTAAAACCTAACAATGTTATATCAGCTACTTAGGTTTATGCAAAGACAGTGATGAAATACATGGTTTTCTATTCTGAATTACAATGTCACTATACCATACCTGGACTTGAAAATCAATAAATCAACACTATCAAAATTTTGAGAGTTGCCCTTGCATTATTTTCTCACACAGACAAATGTAATCTGTTATATTCTAATATACAATGAAAGGCAAATCCACAATGGCACCAACTGACGGGAAAAGTGTGCATTTAAAGAGCATAGGGCCCACGTCCTGTAAGGGAGGACAGGGCTTAGGTGAGTTCCTCCCGTAAGTTAGTCTCCCAAACCAACTGTCCAAGACACAATTCACAAATATGCATTAGGTACATCAAGCACAGTTCTCCTTTAAGAACTGGCTGCTGGAGACAGGCGTTTTCAGCAGTGTCCAGCTCGCAGATGCCACCAGTATGGCTGAGCAGAGGGCTTGCTCACCACTCCCCATGAACATGGCTTAGATCCCATGGCCAGAGGGGAGCTGGGTAGGCAGCAAGGCCGCCAGCGGAGGCTGGATTCTACATTACAGACCTTACCTGCAGGTGTCTGAGGGAGACATGCTACTAGATTTTTGTTTTCTATAGACTCTGGTAAACAACAAAATTACTAAGCAGAGGTAAGAAAAATTTAAGTTTTCGTTATTGTTTTGTGAATAAAACCATCCCACATCTCGCTTTTTTGGTTTTCTCTCTGCGATTTCCATGGCGCACTGTGAAAACCTCATTCACAAAAAGCAAAGGCTGCCTTTGGTTTCCTGTGTGGTGCCAGGCTCCTGTTCCAGCTGCCAACGGAGTCCCAGGGACGGCTGGGTGACCTCATCTCATTCAGCACCGTTCCTGGTGCACAGAGGCACAGAGAGGCTGTGACGGGGGGAAGGAGCTGCACAATAAGGAACTTCTTGGGGCCTTGCAACTAGCATCCAAGACCCCTGCTTCAGAAGAAAATCTTTTTTAACCCAGTGTTATCCAAAAAGCAAAGGGCAGATGGAATTAGGAGATTAAAAAAATCCTGTCCAAAATTTAGGCTCCTTTGGTTTATTACTTAGGATTAAAGAATACAAACAGATTAACTTTACATGGTCAAAGTGGTTTACCAGGAACCCTCTCCTCAAGCACATGCGAAAGGCACGTGGACGCCCACTCACCGTTTCGTAAAATTGCACTTGCTGCTCCAGGTACAGGCGGATGACACTGTTGTAATCATAGATCCGGTTACTGTGAAAGTGATTCATCTCAGCTACAACCCAAATCAGAACATCAATCAGTTTTCCCTCAAGTTTTCAAATGACAACACCTGGTTTCTCTGCTCAGTTACAATTAATCATCAACCTGACCTAATCTGGTTGGCTGCTGTTGTCAGTTCTTGGTAAATCACTTTACTAAGAGGTTAGAAAAACAAGTTGAGCTGGGCGCAGTGGCTCACACCTGTAATCCCAGCACTCTGGGAGGTGAGGTGGGTGGATCACCTGAGGTCAGGAGTTCAAGACCAGCCTGGCCAGCATGGCAAAACCCCATCTCTACTAAGAATACAAAAATTAGCCGGGCATGGCAACAGGTGCCTGTAATCCCAGCTACTTGGGAGGCCGAGGCAGGAGAATTGCTTGAACTCAGGAGATGGAGGTTGCAGTGAGCCGGGATTGCACCACTGTACTCCAGCCTGGGTGACAGAGCGAGACTGTCTCAAACAAAACAAACAAAACAAAACAAGCTAATGACAAACATTACTTTCCAGTAAATGAATGACTTTCACTGTCTTGCATATTCAAAACTATAAAATCCAATACAGATAAATCACCCAAATGCAGCCTATTACTCTAACAGAATCGATCAAATAGAAAATACTTGGTCATATTTGTTACAGATGACTGCAGTTCAAAGCCTCTGGTGTGTCTGCACTGGACCTAGCAGGCAGCTGGGGTCCCTGCCCCGCTCCCTCCTGCACAGCAATTGCTTCAGCAGGTTTCTGGTGAAAGGCTGGGCAGCGTGTGGGACAGCGGGAGACCCTTCTTCAGTACGGGAAGCCTTGCTGCCCCTGAGCACCAGCGACGCTGTCAGAACTCAACCTCTCACAGGGCAGGAGGACTGGATGCTGAGGGACAACTTTCTTCATGTTTGCTGAATACATGGATTCCTTCTTTCTCTGTCCCCCCTGCCCCTGCCCCCAACTCTAGAGGAGTCTTCGTCATCAGAGGACCTCATTGCCTCCCTCGGATGCCTCCTATGCCGCCTTCTCCCAAACCCTCCAGGCTGAGAAAGCCAGCGGCTGCACAGATTCCCATGACATGCAAACTGTTCTACATTTTACATTCAGTTACTTGAAGTTATACAAAGCTTTGTATTTCTCAATTTGGATAACCTCAAACACAAGTTCAAAACCAAACTCCCCATTTCAAACCCTTCAAAACCCGAAACTTCAATCAGGGTTCCTCGTTTTTGCCGTAGTGGCCTGGCTCTGGACACCTCCCTCATCCTTCTCTTTCTCCCATGAATGCCCCAGTCTTGAAAGCTGTTCCTTGGAAAAGCCTGCAAATGTGCTTCATTCTCTTCTCCCCAGTACCACATCTTTAGGCCCTCAAAGCTCAGACTACAACAGTGAGATGGTCTTCTGGCTGGGCTCTTGGACAGTGTCTGCATCTTCCAATCTCCCCTCCATAACCAGCAAATCCTTCTCCCTTGAGGATTGATTTTTTTTTACTCCCTTTTAATGGCTTCTTAATGCCTGCATCAAGTCTAGAGCTTTCAAGTTCCTTCACAATCAAAATTTATTTCCCAATAACCTCTAAGTATGTTTTACTCTTTCATGCCCATGACACAATCTAGCACCACAATTTTGTGGCTTTTGTTCCTAACAGAACACGCTCTCCATTCTCTGCCCATCCAAGTGCCATCCACCCATCCGCCAACAGGAAAAATCCACTTGCTGCCCTCATCTGCTCAAAAACACTCAAACCTATAGAAATTCATCTTTTTTTTTTCTTGACACAAAAAAATTGTGCCTAAAATGACACACCCAAACCCCTTCACATTCCATGATCCCAAGGCACGCAGGTTACAGACTGCTAAAAGCTGGGCTCTGGCATTTAATAGAGCATTATGATACCACAGATTACAAAAGGAATCTTAAATGTCTCTCAGAAATAATAAAATGTACAGTTTTAATCAAGCTGTCATCTATAGCCAGATAAGGTGGACAGGTGAAAAATTAAATAAATATTACAGATTTTCATCAGCACCGGGATCCTGCAAACGAGGGGCTTAAAAGGTCTCACTTACTTAACTGCTGCTCACATCTGGATTTCTCTCTATCAAGGGAAACTTTGCTGGGGAAAAAAAAACTTCCACCAGCACCTCATAAGGACCCTTTCATCTTACCTTGCAACGCGTAAGACATGATGCTGACTCTCTTCACCATGTTCTGTTTGTCTTGTAGGGTGATTTTACTTGTTGCAACTAGTTTGTCACTTTCTTTCACTTTTTCTATTGCTCCCTGTGAAATATAAAATGCAACAGTATGAATAAAGCTGAAATGATTAGTCATTAGTTTAAAATATAACAATGCTAATATATTCTATAACTGATTTGCTACTGAACAGGAAATACCTCCACAAAATAAGAAGAGAGGAAAGCATCTAAATTTAACTTCCTTCAAGTCCCTTGGAAGCAAAAAGGTTGCTATTCTTGACAAATGTCACTAAGCTAAAATGAACAGTTTTATGCTACAACAAAAGAGAAAAGCAAACAGCACACCATCTCTGTAATATTCAGAAGCCGCTGCCATTTGAGGAGTAGCACGTAATGGAAATCAGGCATTAGCAGGTTTTGGAAGTCATGTGGCTAGGTACAGGGCAGCATGTGCACACAGGCACTCTCTCTCTTTTTTTATACAACAGAATATTTTATAAGCTAGTGCCTAAGTGTGCTGATTCTAAGTCCTGGGCTTTCCTTTGATTTTTTAAGAGGCGCTGAATCCATTTAAAGACTCAGATGGAAGCGGCTAGAAAAGCTGCCAAACATTTCCCACTCCAGTGTCATCACGCTGCTCGTTATTTACCGCTGTCTGGAAGGAACAACTCTATACTCATGCATTAATTAGGCTCCAGGCCTACAACTCTGATGCTGCTGGCATACATTTCGACAGCAAGCTAATTTTTCTGAGTTTTATATTAAGTTATCTGAAGTTGTACAAACCTAATTTACCTATGGTACCCCTTCATGATATTTAAGTTATAAAGCAGAATGCTAAAATGGCCACATGCCAGGACTGTTAAGATCACAGACCAGCCCTTTGCAGAGATTTTCCTAACAAATCCAAGTACATCATAATATACGATAGACTACTATGGTTGACATAAAATATAAAATACTCACAACTCATGCCTGAGGTGATGTACAGATTTTTAAAAAGGGAGAGAAAACCAGAATTCATATGTGAGGACACCCCAAACCAATGTCAAAATTCAGTTACAAAACCTTTCTAATGGGAATTATAGATTGTTTCTTTTTTAATAATAAACATATAAAACCAATACTGACTACTGCGCACATCTGCCTCCTTCACCTGCTGTTGTCTTCTATAAATGTCTACGATCAGGTTACCTTGTGAGTGCCAATGATGTCAGGGAAGCAGCCAAGAAAACCTTTATACTCGTGATTACATTCCATCAGGAAATGGAGATCTTTCTTTGGCTATAACAAGATACAAGCTGATTGTTACTGGCAGAGAAATTCAGAAAATCAAGGAAAAGAGAACTATTATACCCAAAGACTATAAATCCTGCATGTGCTACACTAAATTATTGAGTGTTAAGCATTCAGATCACTTTTTCTAAAAGAAAATAACTCCCAAGACTGCCATACTTTGAATCATATGTTGTAAAGAAAACAACAAAACATCATGTAATTTTTAAGTTGGTTTGTAAAATTAGTTATTTTGACGTGGCCCAAAATAATACCACCATGAAGGAAGTTCAGCTAATGCTGTATGTTTACACACAAACAAATGAGTTGTTGTAGTTTAACTTCTAAATATGAGCAGAGAATATAAAAATATTAAAACTAATCATTTTAAGTGGTAATTTTAAATTTTTCCATTTTTTCTGAATTATAACTTTAATAGCTATGTTATTAAAATGAATGCTTTTTTAGAAGTATCAGCAAAGTAGCCCACAACCACATTAGTGTGTGTACACATGTGTGCATCCATACACATAGTTTAAAGTCATCTGAAAAAAAATTTTTTTTAATTAAGGGATTAGAAAATAACTTAGATTCTTCTTAAGGGAACTTATTATCTGTTATCTAAAAAGCCCCTGAAACTGGGGTACTAAAGACTCCAATAAAAGCTATGTAGCTATGACAAGGACCTACCCTGTCCTGGGGACTGTAGCAGGTGCTTTTTATTTATGAGCTATTAAATCTTAAGAATCATACAGGGTAGGCACTACCACTGCAGATTAACAGATAAGGAAACCACAGCTCAGAGAGGCTAAGCAATGGTCCATACAGATCTGAGCCAGCATTCTTTCCTGTTCTTTAGAATCCCCTGATGGCTAAGAACAGATCAGAGGCATCAATACTGGAGTGCATTCATTTAGATGTCTTTTTTTCTTCTGAGATAGGGTCTCGCTCTGTCACCCAGGCTGGAGTGCAGTGGTATGATCATGGCTCACTGCAGCCTTGACTTCCCGGGCTCAAGCAATCTTCCTACCTCAGCCTCCCGAGTAGCTGGGACTACAGGTGTACACCACTACACCCAGCTAATTTTTGGGGGTTCACTGTGTTGCCCAGGCTGGTCTCGAACTCCTGGACTCAAGAGATTCACCCGCCTTGGCCTCCCAAAGTGCCAGATTACAGGTGTGAGCCACTGTGCCTGGCCTATTTAGATTTCTTGATGACAAATGTATTCATCCACTTTGTCTTAACCTAAGAAACCATGATTAAACACAATTAAAAAAGATACACAGAAACAGAAAAGAAGAGGGTACTTATTTGGGACGTTTGTCCTAAGACAGGTTTTAAATTAAATATGTGGACTAGATAGCAACAAATCTTAATTGGAATTGTGTGATTATGTTAGTACCTGTTCTGCCACGAGACTGGCAATTTCTTCATAAGTCTTTCCTGCTTCTGTTATTGCATCATTGAGATCTGTTTCACCTGAAAATGATCAATTTTATCAGTGGTTATAAGTTATGCATATTTTCTTTTCACTTGTTAAAATTTTATTATTGATTTTATTGGTAAATTTTATTATAGAAACTTTCAAACATTTTCAAAACTATTGGGAATAGAATGAATGCCCATCACCCACCATCTGCCTTCCCCACTGGCAGCTCTCGCCAGCCTGTGTTCGTCTACACCCCGACCCGCTTTCACCGGACATCAGCATCTCATTCATAAATCTTGCCTAATAGATGAGGACTCTAAAACATGAGGCAGTACCATTATGACACCTATGACGAGACTGTCATTCGGCTATAATGAGGCCTCTCAGGGAGAGCTGGCTGCTTGAATCAGGATGTAAAGGTCCATACGGCACAGAACTGATGCGTTTCTTAACTCTGTGGATTCTTCTCCCTCGGCCCCTTTTTTCCCTGCACCTTTCTTTTCGTGGGGTGTTGAATTTGTCGTGTGCCCTGGTGCCTGCATTCTGGATGCTGCTGGCTGTGTCTCTGGTGATATGTCACACACTCCCCTGTCCCTGTGTTCTCTTCACACTGGCTATTAGACCTAGAGGCCTGATCAGAGTCACACACCACCAGTTCAGTTATTTCTACTCTTAGAATGTTAGAAAATGATCGTTACCTAGAATGACCATTGTCTGGATCTTTTATTTTAGTATGAGTTTGCAAAATGGTGCTATTCTATTTCTACCATTCCTTCTTTATTAGCTGAAATACTTCCATAAGGATCAACTTTCCTTTATCAATATTCCGGTTACCCAGAGGTAGAGTTTGAACAGGAAAAGCAGGTTAAGTGCTTAATTCTTTCTCTTTATAGTTTTCAAAATAATGAGTTAATCCACCACCATTCTCCAAAAGTAACTGAGATTAATTTCTTAAAAAGCATCTTTATAATTCTGGATTTAAAAATATTTGATATGCTTCATTCCACATTAATTATTATTTTCACTAATGCTCACATTTTCTTTTCTTTGGCCAGTGGTAGGCTCTTCCAATTGGTATCTAAGTCTTTTGATAGGAACCCTGGTTCACTGTGGTGGGACGTGGACCTTACGATTGGTGCCAGGGAATGCTTCTTGCTACTGGATTGGGTAACTGTTTCTAGAGCTTTAACAGAAAGGCAAACTGTATTTTTTTTTAAGAAGGAAATCATGTAATGAGTTCACACTGTTTCCAAAGCAAATTTATGACTTTAGGGGTTTTCTTCATTTATTTTAAAACTTTTTATTTTAAAAATCTTAATTGCTAACAACAGTAACATAATTACGTATTTGCTTTATCCTACAATATGTAAATAGTTTTAGAAGTTTTAGAATAACAATACCAACATGATATTGACTACATGTTTAGTGAAAACAACTAACATTCTTATAGTCTTTCTGACCTTGAGGCACCCGCTCCTGGGGGCATATAAAATGCCATTTTAAGGTGTTTTGAAACAATTCCTCTGTGTGCTATGCCTTCATTTTGATGTATCATTTGTTTTATTTTGCTTTTGATTAGAAATTTTTTTTCCATTTTGATTTAAATTTGTTTTCTAATAATTATGTAAAGCATTTACATTATTCCAAAGTCAACTGTACAAAACAAGATATAATCAGTTTACCTTCCATCTCTCTCTCTCCTTCCCTATAATCATTTAAGAATTTTTATTGCTTATATTTCCATATGCTCATCCATAAGAATATGCAATGTTTCATGGTTTTGTGCAGGGGCCATGCTAATAGTCTGTATTATTTCAAGTTAGTACATGAACTTGTAAAGGAGCACTGGAAGTTATTTTTACTATAATCACAATATTTCCAGGAATCAAACCCATTTACATTATTGCAAGATCGCATAGTATAGCACTGCTCTAAGACGCCAACACATCTGAGCAAGTGGATGTGATGGACACAGTACTCCACACTGCTGACCTTCACTGTCCTTTGTAATGGGAGAAAAGCCAGTCAACAGGAACTTGAATGCTTCCTTAAAATATTATCTTAAGTAGAATGATATTCAACATAAAACATACACTGAGTATTTTTAATACTTGAAAAAGTGCTATTTGCAATATGGAACATTTAATTATGTATTGATAATCACAGTCCAGAAAATGTTAAAGAATCACGAAGCAGCTCCCAGTGGGGAACCCATGGATGCCTGTGGAGCCGGGCCATCATGATGGCCAAAATTCCAGCATCTCTAGGACAAATCTTCTCACCCTGTTGAGACATCACAGAGCCACCATGCTAAAAGGGCTCCAAGACCTCTGCCTCCTCCCTAAGCAATGGGCGTGGCTTGCTCTCAGCTCTTCCATCACCCACTTGTTACCTGGGCCAAGATGCTTCTCTGTTCTGGCCTTGAGTTCCCAGTCTAGACCTCAAAGCCCGCTTCTGGTCTAAAAGTGTCAACTGTAAGACATGGTAAGGCCAGGGCAATGAGAACTATTGCCATGTGGGAGCCCTAAATCTTACATTTTGGTGAGAAACTTCTTATTAGTTTATTATTAAAATATTCAGAAACCGACATCCAAAGCACTGTCTGCCTTGAGTATCAGGATCAACACCTGTACCAATTCTACCACTTCTATAAGTGACAGGAGATAACAGATTTAATAGGTGCCACCTAGCTGACAAATGCTTTTTCTTCTTTTTTTCTTGAGATGGGGTCTCACTCTGTTGCCCATATTGGAGTGCAGTGGTGTGATCATGGCACACTATAGCCTCGACCTCCTGGGCTCAAGCGATCCTTCTGCTTCAGCCTCCAGAACAGCTGAGACTACAGGTGTGTGACACCATGCCTGGCTAATTTTTATTTTATTATTTTTTTGTAGAGATGGGGTCTCCTTATGTTGCCTGGGTTCCTTTCCCTTTTAATAAAGAAAAAGAGCTAACTTGCTCTCATAAGTGCTGCCAATGTAAACCACAAAGGGATCCCTGGGTAAGATACACATTTATAGGATAAGCTGAAACAGTTATGAGTTAAGGAGAAAACAGGCAACACACACTTGTTACTTGGTCAAACATTTTTCCTTGAAATGGCCTTGATGAAATCTGGCTTTTTTTTTTTTTTTTTTTTTTTTTTTTGAGACAGGGTCTTGCTCTGTCACCCAGGCTGGAGTGCACTGGTAAGATCATGGCTCAGTGCAACCTCTGCCTCCCGGGCTTAAGTGATCCTCCCACCTCAGCCTCCCAAATAGTTGCAACTACCTGTATGCACCACCACACGTGGCTAATTTTTTATTTTTTTGTAGAGATGGGGGTCTCACCATGTTGCCCAGGCTGGTCTCAAACTCCTGGACTCAAGTGATTTGCCCACCTCAGCCTCCCAAAGTGTTGGAATTATAGGTGTGAGCCACTGTGCCCAGCCAAATCTGGCCTCTGTCACAGGAAGACTTGGCAGAGAAATGAAACTGATGGCATTGAAACAAAAGCGCTACACCAGAGAGCAAAAAAAGGCAAACGAGCTAGCAAGAAAATACAAATTATAACCACCTTTGGCTTTTCTCAAAAGTCCTAGGATGAGGGTGCAAAAGTCCTTAGTGCGGCAGCCTAGCCAATTTACACACCCACAACCAGGGTGCTTCACTGAGGAGGGAGTTAGCGTCTGCAGGATCCTAAGCAGGTGACAGGTCTACATAAGGCTCTAAAGGCCCACTGGATGAATGAAGAAAGACGCACCTTGATAGCCACTGGAACTGAACACTGTGGCCAAACTCTGCAAGGCCTTTCCTATCTTCTGATATTCCTTGGGTAATGCTGAAAGACAAAAAGGAATAAACGATTAGTCTTCTGAGCAAACTGAAATGGGATTAAACTATTTCCTAAAAGTGATTACAGTAACTTTTGAAGTGATTCAAAATAGTCTATATATTCCTTCACAAAATACTGTTGCAAAAGTGATTGTTTTTTCAATTGATTTCTTTCGATTATTTTAATTGACTGTTCAACTAATGGTGGATGCTATTATTACTGACAATCACTCCTACATTCTCATTCACCAAATGAGATGTAAGTGAAATGGAAGCTCCTTTAGATGATTTCTAGCTTACAAAGTACTTCTAGCGACACCGCGCTTGATCATCATGATAGCCCCTCTACCAGATGCAGAGACACCATCCTCATGCTGAGGATTAGGAAAATAAGGCTCAGATAACTGACTTGCCCAAGGTCACATGGCTAATAAATGCTGGACATGGACTTGTGATTCCAAATACGTAGCCTTTCCCACTCTGTTACAGGTGCATAAATGACCATTTGCAAACCATAACCACCAAAGACTGAAAGCAACAAGGTATGGAGAAAAATACAACAGTCAGACTTCGCATGACCAGGGAAGAGGGGTCTGAGTTTTCTCATCTGCATGAAGAGATGATTTCAATAAATGACCCCTAAGGTTTCTTTTTAAGGTGCTAAGATTCCAGGATCACTTTGGAGAACTTCCCAAGAGTCTCTGCACCTTAAGCTACTTTCTTTGCATCTGTATGGAGTCCCCTTAAATGGAGCATCTGTTTGCCTTTCAAAAGAAACCATTATTTGCATTTAAAGACTCACTGCAGTATTAAAGGAGAAAAAGAAAACTTTTAATGTTTCTTTAAAAAATATTTAGGCCAGAGACATTTGAGGTAAGGTCTATAAGCTGCAGTTATCAGGAAACATGAATCCAAATTACACGAGCTCAGTTAATTTTAATAAATTGTACCCCTGTGGTACCTCAGTTTTGCCTCTCTACCTAAAGGCACCTGGCATGTGGTTCACCATGCAGAGTGTGTGCTAGAGTTTTCATTCTACACATTAGGAATTTTAAAGAACTACTTTGAGAAACAGGAGGAGATATGCCTGAGTCAATCCCTTTCCCCACCCCACAAAAGAGCGGCCTGAGGCCAGTATTCCCTACTTTCTACATTTAGCCTTGTGAATTACACAGGACATGGAGTTGATCAGACATTAGACATAAGGGATTTAATTTTTAAAAAGATATCATAATCCCAAATTTTTATGATATCCTTAAAAAATGCAATTGTAAAATTTACACTCAGGAAAAATGGCTTTCAAAGAACATACAGATTTAAATGATGTGTTATGATGGTCTTGCAAGAGTTTACAGTCAAAATTAATTCATTGCCTTTAAAAACTGAATTCTTTCATTTATACTTTAGAGCAACGGTCCCCAACCTTTCTGGCACCAGGGACTGGTTTCATGGAAGACAATTTTTCCACAGATAGACAGTGGGTCGGGGGGATGGTTTGGGGATGAAACTGTTCCACCTCAGATTATCAGGCATTAGATTCTCATAAGGGCTCACAAGCTTGTATGCGTGGCTCTTAATAGGGTGCAAATTTCTATGAGAATCTAATGCCACCGCTGATCTGACAGGAGGCGGAGCTCAGGCGGTAATGTGAGTGATGGGGAGCACCTGTAGATAGAGATGAAGCTTCACTTGCCTCCTGCTGTGCGGTAATGGTCCATGTACCAGTCCATGGCCTGGGGATTGGGGGCCTCTGCTTTAGAGAACAACGTCAACTTTGCTTTTTGTTCCTGAGTCATCCTCTATGACTAAAGTCTTGACACAGGTTTTGTTTTCTAGATGCTGCATTTGTATACATTATTTTCTCAGGGCTAATTCTATATATTTAGGATACAGCATCATATTTCTTTGCCATGGGAAAGAAACAACTGTTATTCCTGATGTCTGCCCCTCAAGCACGAACAGCTGGTATGCTACAAGTTGTTTTGTTGGTATAAGATAATATGTGGATGGTAAAGCACCACTGGTACTGGTATTACTGCTAGTAGAGGAAGAGGCAGAGGTAGTTATTGGCCAATGGTTGAGGTAAGGCAGGGCCTGGCAAACTTCCTCTGCAAAGTGCCAGATAGTAAACGTTTTAGGCTTTATGGAGCCACAAGTTTCTGTTGAAACTACTCAACTCTACCATTATGACACAAATGTAGCCAAAGACAATATACAAATAAATGGGCATGGGTGTGTTCCAATAAAACTTTATTTACAAAATAAGTGGCAAGCCAAATATGGTGCTCGGACCATGGTTTACTGACTCCTGATGTAAGGCTTTGGATTTTCAGATCTGGATTGAATAGTAATACTGACATTGTCTTTGCTGTGCTATCTTATTAATTCATCTACAAGTCACTCCATATTTAGTTTCCTCTCTTTAAAATTATTATTGGATTTCAAATTCTGATTGTTTTCTTTTTTTAGTGTAAAAATATCACCTTTAAAAAAATCATTACAAGAACAGATCCCTTTCCTATGCTGAGCATCAAAGGCTGATAGAAAAGTAGGTATATGTTACTCATAATTCAAAATATAAAACATTTTTTTTAACTGAATACAACCAATATTCCTGTATGGTGTTATGAGGTGAAGGCCAGAAAATTCTTAGTGATAGATTAGAAGGCCCTGTTCTCTAGAGGTTAAGACACAGCAATAAGGGCAGACCAGATATAAAGGAGAGAAGTCCTAGGACTCTAAGGGAGTTAAAGGCATCTGCGCATGGGACAGCAGTGCAGTCGCAGCATTTCAGGGCCTGACAAGTCACTCTGCAGCCTCTGAGCCTGTGGGTGTAACAGGGCAGCAGCCCGTGGCATTAGCCCTACAGCTGGATACGGGACTATTTTTCTATCCTGGGCCACATGTGTGGTGACAGAGCTGCACAGTTCTAGGAAATACAGGAAAAACCTTCAGCAGAATGAAAGCCTACAAACAAAGGAGAAGGAGGGAGGCAGGAAGTTCTTAGGGACACAGCAGAGTGGTCAGAAAGCCGTGACTGACAGCGACACTCTCCCCTCGGCAGTGCTTCTGCTGTGACATATTTTCTACTACTAACTATATTGGTTTTTCTAAACACTATGGTTTTAGTCAAATACACAACATCTTACCAAATGGATGAAGATTAAAAAATAAAATCATGAGACTAAGAATAACTACAAGCACTCTGAAAACATGCAAAAATGATTAATTTTCCAAAGATTATAAAGCCCCAAATTACTGGAACTAATTAAGTGAACGTGGTGTTCCCTATGAGATTTCTTAACCTGGCTTTGCTGGTCAGTTTTCTGTGGTTTAACTCAGGTGAAGTGAGATCAAGCAGAATCACAGGAGGGACATTACTGCCGTCCACCAAATACACTTCTGTTCGAGGCAGCAGGTTCCCCTCTATGATAAGGGACATAAAACTGAGCCTGCATCACCCCCTACGAGCCCAGTGCACTGTGAGGAGTGGACTTACGGCCCGTGCAGCGCTTCCAGTGCTCCTGCCCCACCGTCAGCAGCTCCTTCACGCCGTCATCCATGGCCTTGGTGAACTTCCCCACAGCCTCGCACTTCTGCTCTCTGTGGGTGAAGGCGGCCGTCAGTCACATAAGCAGGAGAAACAGCACTGCTGTGGGGATACTCGGGCCAAATATAACCACAGACACTTGTTTTCTTGCATGATAACAACTCCCCTTTCACTAAGTTAGCCTTAAATACAGGCTTGATGCAGACATTTAAAGAACTACTTAAAAAGCGCTGATTTATATTTTAACTTCGCTTCCTTTCTGCCTATACAATTCTTTGTGAATTTTAAAATTATTCTAAAGTAAATAAAATAATAATTTCTTGAATATCTTATTTAGGAAAATTCCAATCACTGGGGGGACCATCAAATCTATAAAAGAATAACAGGGGTTGCTAATGCTAGCTGGCCATTCATTCCAAGTACTCCATGAAACGGAGACAATAACCTGGATACACAATCACCTAAGTGATCCTAAAGATACCAGTTCTTTCTAAGGATGTCAAAAGTGTATTTACCAACCTGAAAAGATCACAATATACTGTTAGATGAAAAAAGCAGATTATAAAACAAAATGTCTAGTGTGAGGTCATTTTTGTTTAAACAATCTTTCCTATAATTACATACGTACAGAGGAGGATTTGGGAGACTAAACACTAACATATTAACACTGATTTTCTCTCTGCGTGGTTGAAGGGTTATGTGTGTGTGTGTGTGTGTGTGTTACTTGTCTATACTTTTGGTAACACATACGCAATAATTTTATGATAACAAAGCTTAAAATTATGTAGTCCCAGCTACTCGAGAGGCTGAGGCAGGAGAATGGCGTGAACCTGGGAGGCGGAGCTTGCAGTGAGCGGAGATCGTGCCACTGCACTCCAGCCTGGGTGACAGAGCAAGACTCCGTCTCAAAAAAAAAAAAAAAAAAAAAAAAAAGCTTAAAATTAAAAACCACGCAAATTTCTTTTAAGTCCGTAAGAGAAAAGGAACTACTCCAAAGTTTCAACTGACCCTGCATTTAAAAAACTACATGATTAAAATCAATCAACAGATTAAAAAAGCATACAGAAAAAGCAGGTTAGAGACTGCTTCCTCAAGGCAATGTTCAAAGAGATTTGCTGTCTGAATATTGAGTGGGTTTTAGGTGGCTCCATGCCGCTTGGTTTCATCACACTATTGGAAACAGCTACTCAGCACCGTGTCAACTATGAAATCACTGGCTTCAAGGTGAAAGAAAGATTGTAATTTGATGTTGCGGTTAGAAAGACAGTACTTCTATGTACAAATGATGTTTCCCTTGTCATTGGACTACAAATCCCACTCATTTCATAAAAGTCTAGTCTGATTTGAGTTTCGGCTGCGGCTACACTGGCTGAAGCCTGATGGCCAAAGGAGGAGGGTGCGGATTGAGAAGAAAGAAAACCTGGCAGCGTCTCTCACATTTCTACTAAGTCCAAGTCAGGTGCCTCTGGTTCCATGGTGGAAAATATCATGACTCCCGCCAGCTCATCTCTCTCGGCCTTCCTCTTTCCAGTTTTCCATTCCTGTAAATGAGAATGTTGTAAGGTTCAAGTGGAGAGCACAGTCAAACTGGTCTTCAAAATTCCCAAACAGGACCAGCTCATTTATCACCTTTATCTTTCTAATTTTCAGGAAGCAGCTCCCACTCTATCTCCCTCTGCACCATGGACTAAATACCTTTATACTCCGAATGTAATCTCAGGGCATGAACAGTGTCATTCCACAGAATGGTCCTAATGGGACCAAATCTTTAAAGAATGAACCAATTCAGCCATGTTCTCTTTCCAATGGCTACCTATATAAAAACAGCAAACAGAAACACCCTATACTTTTTTTTTTTTTTTTTTTTTTTTGAGACAGAGTCTCACTTTGCCTTCTAGGCTGGAGTACAGTGGCATGATCTCAGCTCACTGTATCCTTGAGCTTCCAGGTTCAAGCAATCTTCCCACCTCAGCCCCCAAGTAGCTGGGACTTTAGGCGCATGCCACCATGCCTGGCTAATTTTTGTATTTTTTGTAGAGATGGGGTTTCACTGTGTTAGCCAGGCTGGTCTTGAACTCCTGTGCTCAAGCAATCTGCCCACCTCAGCCTCCAAAAGTTCTGGGATTCCAGGCATAAGCCACTGTGCTCGGCCCACCCTATGCATTCTGACCTAGTGCCTCAAATATTTAGGTTATCTGTTTTCTAAAAAGGTAAATGCTTTTCTAAAATATAAGACAGAAACCAGTATTATGAGCTATTTTTTTAAAAATATTAAGATATACACACACAGAGTACCCAAATCAAAAATATCCAGTGCAATGAATTGTCACAAAGTGAATACTTGCCTAACGACCAACTAGGCCAGGAAGGAGCAAAGAGCTCCCATTCCAAAAGCCCCCGCATTGTCCTTTCCCCAAACACTGCTACCTCTTCCCTTCCCCACAAAGGTAACCGGTAATCTCTCTCTTATGGTTTTCATTTCTTTGCTTTTCTGCTATGGTTTGAATGTGTTCCCTCCAAAATTCATGTTTTGAAACTTAATAGCCAATGTGATAATATTAAGAGGTGGGGCCTTTAAGAAGTGATTAGGTCATGAGAGCTTCTCCCCTTGTGAATGAGATTAGCATCCTGATAAAAGGGCTTGATGGAGGGGGTTTGTCCCTTTTTGCTCTTCCACCTTCCACCATGTGGGGACTCAGCATTTCTCTCCTTTGGAGGATGCAGCCCTCACCAGACAGCAAATGCTGGTGCCTTGATCTTCGACTTCCAGCCTCCGTAACTGTGAGAAATAAATTTCTGTTGTATATAAATTATCCAGTCTCAGGTATTTTGTTACAGCAGCACAAATGGACTCAGACACTTTGTTTAGAGTTTTACCACCTACGCATGCATGCTACCCTGTCCTGCTAGTTTTTCAAGCTAGCAAAGAGCCCTATAAATGCGTTCTTTGGTGCCTGGCTTCTTTTGCTCAATCTTGCTTAGGAACTACAGTCAAAATCTTGTGTAGAACTACAGTTCATTCATTTCATTGCTGTATAATATTCTACTTTATGAGTAATCCCCAATTTATTTATCTATTCTACTACTGGTAGCCACCCTTATCAAGTTATGAATGAAGCTGTTATGTAGATGTCTCCTGGTGTCTGTGTGCCTGCATTTCTATTCAGTACATATCCAGGAGTGGAAATGCCAGGTCATATGAGAGGGTTCAACTTCAGTAAATGCCAAACTTTTCCAAATTAGTCTTACCATTTTCCCCCAACACGTTATGAATCCCAGCAGCATCTCACCTCACCAAGATGACACTTGGTATGGTCAGTTTTAGCCATTCTGGCACGTGTGTAGTGGCATCTTATTGTGGTTTTAATGTGTATTTATTGATTGCTAATGAGATTAGGTACTTTTCTACACATCTGTTGTTGATTCAGATACCTTATTTTATGAAGTACATGATCACATCTCCTATTTTTCCACTGGGCTTACTGATGTTTTCCTATATTCTAAAATCTAGCCCTTCATTGCTTATATATGTTGCAAGTATCTTCTACTCAGTAGCTTGTTTTTCGCTTGTCATGGCTGAAAAAAGAAGTTCTAATGTAGTCTAATTTATCCACATCTTCCTGCATAGTCTTTTTCATGTCATATTTCAGAAATTCTTCCCTGCTCTCTAGGATAGGAGGATGTTCCACGTTATCTTCTGTAAGCATTACTATGTTGCTTTTCACATTTAAATCTGCGAGCCACATGGAATTCATTTTCAAGAAGACCATATACAATGAAAACTTTCAAACATATACAAAAGAAGAAAAGTATAATAAACCCCCCAGGTTCAGCTTCGATAATTACCAACACTTTTGCCAATCTTTTTAAAAATATCATTAGTTTAGTAAAAGAGATACGGAAGTCATTTACATGATGAAGGCTTTCGGAACTGTGGTGGCATGTGATGCCATTTCAGTAGGGATTTACTTCGGCTTACACACTTTCCAAGAATGGCACCACCTCTAAATAAGAAATGACCTTTGTCTAGAACTACTTTGCTGCCTCCATATTCTGGGAAAACTTTAACTTTCACTGAGCTAACTGGTTAAATCTTTCCACCCCCACCTTTAAGGTCTGATCCAATAGCTACTACTGTTGCTTGCAATACTTTTGAGATTTTTCTGGAAGTATAATGACTCCTTTGGCTATAGTTTTGGGTGCTTTCCTTTCAACCAAAACTCAGAGTGAAAGAAACTTTCCAAGTGCCTGTCTGCTGTGACTCCACAGGAGACCCACAGCTCCACCTTCAGCACATGTGGCCAAGGGAAAAGCTGCCCAGGCACCACTGCTCCCCGGGAGGTGCCAATCTTGTTTCATAGGTATTCTCCTCCATTTTACCTCTGGGATTTTTTTTTTCTTACTTTAAAGCTAATTTGAAATATAATACATACATATATATATTTATATATATTTGAGACAGAGTTTTGCTCTGTTGCCCAGGCTGGAGTGCAGTGGCATGATCTTGGCTCACTGCAACCTTTACCCCCGGGTTCCAACGATTCTCCTGCTTCAGCCTCCCAAGTAGCTGGGATTACAGGTGTGTGCCACCACACCTGGCGAATTTTTGTATTTTTAGTAGAGACAGGGTTTCGCCATATTGGCCTGGCTGGTCTCGAACTCTTGACCTCAAGTGATCCGCCACACCCAGCCTGGGACATGTTTTAAAAACATAACAATATCAATAACAACCTTAATAAAATCAACTGCAGATTGTAGTGAGGTAGCGAGCACATTTCATTTCCCTGCATTTTGCCATCCAACTGACCCAGCACCAATTACTGAAAAGACTATCCTTTGCCTACTACGCCCAGTGCCATCTTTGTCATAGATCAAGTGTCTACTCTGCTCTACTGGTTGGTTTGTCTAGCCTTATGCCAATGCCATGCTTTTAAACTTTTTTAGCTTCACAATGAGTTCTGATACGCAATAAAGTCCTCCTCCTATTTCATTATTTTCCAAGAGCATCCTGGCTATGCTTGGCATTTTGATTTTCTACATATGACATCTTTATTGTTTCCAGTCCATGAGACGCAGTATTAGAAAATTTATTTAGGTCTTCTATTATTTTTCTCAATAATGTTTCATAGTTTTCTATGTAGATCTTTTGTACATTTTCTTGTATTTATTCCTGGATATTTGATACTTTTGATGTTACTGTAAATGACAGGTTATTTTTTTTTTAGATTTTCAATTTCTGTTTTTGCTGATAAATATGCAATGTCTTGTATCCAGCTACCTTACTAACCACTTATTTCTAATAATGTCTCTGCAGATTCTTTGGGGGTTTCTGTGTCTACCATTTATTTACACGAGCTGCTACTTACCACAGAATCATAGTTTCTATGTAGTTCTACAGTGTCATTTAGCAAGTGAGGAAATTCTGGCCCAAAGGGATTAAATACCTTCACTAAGACCACAGAGGCAGCTAGAAGTGGCACTAAGACCAGAACTCAAGGGCCCTGACTCCAAGTTCTTTCTTTTTTCTCTTATACCACTTTTATGACACGTTGATCCCTCTTTGAAGGTGGCATTTAAAAAAACCAACACAACTGATGTCTAGGATTTATTAACTCCACCATGCAGAAAACATGACCTTCAGAAATGCTTTCTAAATCAAATCCTTGGAAAATCTATCAAATAAGCTCTTGTTAAAGTCTTGTGGGAACCAGGAAGGCAACAAACTTGGAGGTGGTTCCCTGTAGTTTCTGTAACTACAAAGTAACCCAAATATTTACTGAATTCAAAGAACTTAGTTTCACTACTATATAGCTACATGACACACAGTGTGACTGAGTACCCTATCTCACCATAAACATATACAAATTCATAAGACATGGTGAGGAGACCTGTGATATACACAAATTCACAAAGACATGGTGAAGCATCTCCATGTTGTCTAATTCCCAATCTGGTGACATATAACATATCACATGAGCTGGTCAATTCTAGAAATAGTCAATAACTGAAAATAAGGCCCAAATATGTATGTTAAGTGTATGCATACACCTGTAAACATACACCGATAGAGCCCTAATATTTAAGACTTACTATGTGTTCACTTCAACAAGTGAAAATTACTACAAAGAAGTTTAGCAAGTAAACCTCTCGAAGTTCCAAGAGGGTATATGATATTCTATTATTTCATTAAAGACAAAAATAGCTTCATAATTTATTTCCCAGGCTGATAATGTATTTAGCATCTGCTGTGGCTTCTGGGCCAACTCCTGCTTTTATTCTTTAGGGTGCTGAGAGATGCAGTATTTGTTGAGAGAAATTGTGGAGGAAACATCTTTAGAGAATAAAATGATACAATAAGGAGTACAGTAAATGCTTACTGAGAGAGAAAACTATTTCCAAAGCAGACACTTTTGAGATGTCAGGCAGCCAACGTTTCCTTGATTTTAATGAAGAACAGATGACCACTGGCAGACTACAGGCCACAGGGGCAGGCAGAGAGAGAGGCCAGCACTGACTCTGGACTCACCATTACAGTGATGAAAATGGCCTGGCTCTGAGAAGAGCGGCTCATGTCTGCCTCTCCCTTTCCTGCCATCATGCTGTTACATTGTAAGGGCAACGTGATCGGGAAAATCAGTCACTCCACTCCCCTCACTTCATGCTGATAATACCTTCAGAGTTTGGGGCCTATCCTCCTATTTTTAAAAACATCTAGGGAAAAACTGCTGACCCTATTACATCCCTCACCCTGCCCCTGCCCATCTTGAGCCAACCCACTCCCAGTGTAGGGGGAAGCCCTTCTGGCAGGCAGTTCTTCACACATCATGACAAATTTCCTATGGTGGGGATTTAGGTTTCTGTCCCCTCACTGTCACTGGAGGAAGTGAGAAATAACTAACCAACATAATTTTAACTCCTTTCAGAAATAAGTTTGGTGTGAATGAGACAACTCTCAATATTCTCTGATGCCATATTAACACAATGTCCTACCTTCTCATCTCGGAAATTTAGGAACTGCTGGAAAACTTCACTTTCTGAGATTACTGGATGGCGACACATCCTGGTCATCCAGGCCTGAAGTCTCTCCATGCGCATTTTGATAAATTCCTCTTCAAAGCGGCCTGCAAGCGACACACCAAGAATGACATACAACTTTGTCTAAAATGAATGACTGTTACCATACTGTAACTGAAAAACCATTTCTATGTCTACTGGCTATTGGGTAGAAAGCTATTTAGCAAAAGGTAAACCATGGAGATTTTTAACTAATCTAAAAAACAAGCAACACAACGAATGCTCAAAGGCCCACAGGTAAGATGCAACAGACTTCAGTTTTTAAGAACATAATTCCAATTTAACATATTCACATATTGTGACAAGAATAATGACAACCTCAAGGTGCTACTTTCTTCAAGTATCCTTAAAGTACTAAAAAAAAATTAAATCTTATCTCAACATGAAAACCTGTCTCTTTCCTATAAGCTAACAGGCCAGTTTCTGTGTGGCCACATGAAGTCCTATAAGCAAGAAAGGAGTGATGAGTGGAATTTAATGTCATTCTTACAAACGACATGGTATTTCCATATTATCAAAATGTGTCCAAATGCAATATAAATTACATCTATACAAGTTTAAATTTAGCATTATGAAGAGTAACCCAAGGCTATAGCTTTTTTCCTCCAGGTATTTTAAATTACTTAAACTGAAATACCAAAGGAATTTTTCCACTAATGCAATAATGGAAGTTGCTATTCTGGAACTTGTGACTCTACTAAAACAGTTTAATGAGTGGTCCTTTCTGTTTTAAAAGTAGAAAGTCAGCTTGACAAGAATAGCATAACAAACATCAAGTGAACACTAAGAATGTTTATAAACCTACAAACAAAAACTACTATTAGTTGAAAGCCTTCTAGTGGTAGAAGTTCCAGCTATGGCCTGGAGAGATCAGCTAACCCTACCCCTCAAAAGCAACTATAAAGCTAGACAACAGTAATAAAAACAACCAAATGAGTGCTCTAGAAATCAACAAAAGGCGAATGGCCACCTGAGAAGTGTTTATGCTTGAAGAACTGAACTTCAGGCGACGATGGTGGAAATCTGTGGTGGTGGGAGGCTGCTCCTGTCTCCCCCGCATCTGCTGCCTGTGTGCCACCCACCCCACGTGTTCGACATGGTGGTACCACTAGGGTGGACAGGCTGTGAAGATGGGCAGCTGCAGCTTCTCCGTGAGGGTAGAAGGCTCGCTTGGAGTGATGGGAGATGCCATGTTCAATGGTGGTGTCAGTGGCAGTGACAATCTCAGAGACAGATGAACAGGAAGGGACAACAGCCCTGATAGCCAAGGTTGAACCATGCATATTCCAGGCTGAGGCTGTATGCATACACATTGGAGACCAGAGAGGGTCCAAGCCAGGCACACAATCCTGGTCAACTCTGAGGCTGTACATACAAGTAAAGGAGACACAAAAGGGTCTGGTAGAAAGTAAAAGCCAGGGCAACTTAAAAATGACCTGAGCTTTGAATGAGTTACATCGAGTTACAGTTACATTGACAGAGGACAGGAGCCCCAACTTACTGGCCTGAGGTGGTTGGGTACAACCTCTGTCAGTCAATCAAAGGCTTACTACCAATCCACAGACACAGGAGCAAACTCTAGGAAGACAAATATAAAACAAACAAACAAACAAACAAACAAACAGCAATAACTGAACTTCCAGGGAGACAGACTTCAGAGATTTAATCTTAGGCAAGTTACTTAACAAATAAAAAGCAGAAACAACAACCTTCAGAGAGGTAAACTCAGAATCTGGAGTTGCTAAAATATATTCTCAAAAATGTCCAGTTTTCAACAAAAAATTAAGAGATACGCAAAGAAATAGCAAGATATGAACCATACTGAGAAAAAAACAAACAGTCAATAGACACTATCTCTGAGTGTCCGCAGATGTTGAATTTGGCAGAAAAAAACAATGTGGCAGATAAAGCAGATTCTATAAGGATTTTCAAAGAACTAAAGGAAGCCTAAAAAATTAAAGAAAAATATGACAGAGAATCAACACACAGAGTTTCAAAAAGGAGAGAGAAGTTACCAAAAAAGAATCACATGGAAATTCTGGAGTTGAAAGTATAGTAATTGAAATAAAAAATTCACTGCAGATAAGGCTCAACATAAGATTTAAGGTAGCAGAAGAAAAAAAACACCTAGTGAATTTGAAGATAGATCAACAGAAGTTAACTAACATGAAGAACACAGAGAAAAAAAACTTAAACGTAAAATATTAGAATACATCAAGCACACCAAACACTTGTAATGAGAATCCCAGAGGAAGAAGAGAGAGTGAGACAAAAAATATCTGAATGACTGATCATGCATAGTAGAGTGGGCACGTGAGATAAACAGCATTAACAGCTGACTTGCTTTCTGACACAATGGAGCCAGATCGGTACGACTATCCTCTAAAAATAAAGACATACCCAGATAAATAATGAGATAATTCACTGATAACAGACCTGCATTATAAGAAGTATTAAAGGAAGTCCTTCAGGCTAAAAAGAAATTACTAAAGATGGTGACTTGAATCTGCAGAGACAAATAAGCAGCACCGGAAATATAAGGATTAATGTAAAAGATTCTATAGATATATTTTTTTCTAATTTGTTTCCTTAGTGTCTTTAAAAGACAAAAGACTGTAGAAAGCAGTAATTACCACAATGTATTGTTGGATTCATAACATACAGATGTAATATATATAAAAATAATGGCATAAATGAGGGAAGGGAATAAAGCTATATAGGAGAAAAATTTCTTTATTTTACTGGAATTAATATTAATCTAAAGTGCACTGTGATGTTAAAAAAGATGCATATTATATCCCTTAGGGCAACCACTATGAAAATAACTTCAAAAATTTAGCTTAAACAATGAGAGGAATTAAAACAATACACCGTAAAATATTTAACACAAAGAAAAGGCAGTAAAGGAGGAAAAAGAAGCAAACACAGAAAACAAATAACAAAATGGCAAATGTGAATCTAACCATGTCAATAATTATATTAAATACAAATGGCCTAAAAACCCCAATCAAAAGCAGAGATTGTCAGACTTGATAAAAAAGTAAGATCCAACTATCTTGCCTATAAGAGAAACAGCTTGATTTCAAAGGCACACATATACTGAAAGTAAACGGATGGGAAAAGATATACCATACAAACAGTAACCATAACAGAAATGGAGTGGCTATATTAATATTAGACAAGTACACTTTAACACAGGAAATCTTACTAGAGACAATGGGGGACACCTCATGATATAAGAGGTCACTACATCAGGAAGATATTAAAATTACAAACTGTATGTCTACCTAACAAGAGAGACTCAAAATACATAAAACAAAGTGACAGAATTAAAAGGAGAGATAGTCCACTAATCATAATGTTAAATTTCAATACCCGATACTCAATAATTGATAGAACTAGAAAGAAAATTGGCAAGGATATAGAAACCTGAATAACACTATCAACCCAGCCTAACTGACATGAATGAAACACTCCACCCAGCTGCTACAGACACATATTCTTTTGAAGCACACATGGAATATTCCCTATGACAGACCATATGCTAGGCCATAAAATAAGTCTCAATAAATGTAAGAGGACTAAAAATCATGCAAAGTATGTTCTCTGAACATAATAAAACTGGAGGTCAAAAGAAAAAAATTCAGGAAATGGCCAGATAGTTGGAAATTAAACATAGAGTTGGTTCTCTGTATCCACGGTCTCTGCACCCATGGATTCAACCAACCTTAGATTGCAAATATTTGAGGGAAAAAATTTTTTTCTGTAATGAATATGTATGGACTTTTTTCCTTGTTATTATTCTCAAAACAATACAGTATAACAATGATTTACATAGCATTTACATTGTATTAGGTATTATAATTAATCTAGAGATGATTTAAAATATACGGGAGAATGTGCATAGGTTATATGCAAATACTATACCATTTTATATCAGGGACTTGAGCATCAATGGATTTTGGTATCTGTGGGAGGTTCTGGAACCAATTCCCATAGATACTGAGATATAGGTATATTTCTAAATAACCCATGGATCAAATAAGAACTTATGAGAAAAATTAGAAAATGTTTTGACCTGAATGAACATGAAAACTCAATAAGGTAGACTTTATAGAATGCAGCAAAAGCATGCTTAGAGGAAAGTTTTTAGCATTTAATGCCTGTGATAGCGGAAATATCTCAAAACAATAATCTAAGTTTCTATATTTAAGAAACTAGAAAAAGAATAAATCAAACCCAAACCAAGCGATAGAAATGATAAAAGAGCAGAAACAATATAATAGAAAAGAGAAAAATAAAAATACATAAAACCAAAGAAAAAAAGAGAGGTGACAATGATCAAAATCAGAAATGAAGGAGTAGACCTAACATCTTTAAAGGTACAAAGAAATACTATGAGCAACTCTAAAACTATACCTAACAACTTCTATGAAATAAATCGACTCCCTTAAAGACCCAAGCTACCAAAGCTCAGCCTGAATAGTCCTATAGCTATGAAGGAAATTAAATTCATAGTTAAAGCCTCCCCACAAAGAACACTCCAGGTCCAGATGATTTCAGTGGTGAGTTCTATCAAACACTTATAGAACAGTATCAATTCTATATAATCTCTTCCAGAATATAAACAAGGAGGGAATAGTTCCAAACTCATCCTATGAGACTAGCATTGCCCTGATACTAAAACCAAACAAATTACAAGAAAACTATAGACCAATAACCATCGTGAACCAAATCCTCAACCAGATATTATTAGCAAATTTAATCCAGCAATATATAAGAATAATCTATCACCATCGAGTGAGGTTTATTCCAGGCATGTAAGGCTGGTTCAGCAATGGAAAGCTGATCAGTGTGATTTGCTGTATTAATAGCAGAAGAAAAGCCATACAATCACTCGATGAGTACACAAAATACATGGGACAAAATCCAGCATCTATTCATGAACAAAAACTTTCAACAACCTAGAAATAGAAGAGAAATTCCTTAACTTGATAAAAGCACATCTAACAAAAAACCTACAGCTAACATCATAGTTAATGGTGAAAGACTGAATGCTTTGTCCCTAAGATCAGGAATAAGCCAAAGATGATTGCTCTCACTATTTCTACTCAAGAGCATACAGGAAGTCCTAGCAAGTGCAATAAGGCAGAAACAGAAGTAGAAGGCCCATGGATTGGAAAAGATGAAATAAAACTCTCTATTCCAAGCTGACATGATTGTCTACATTAAAAAAGAAAAGAGGGCCGGGCACGGTGGCTCACGCCTGTAATCCCAGCACTTTGGGAGGCCGAGGCGGGTGAATCATGAGGTCAGGAGATCGAGACCATCCTGGCTAACACAGTGAAACCCCATCTCTACTAAAAATATAAAAAATTAGCAGGGCGTGGTGGCGGGTGCCTGTAGTCCCAGCTACTCGGGAGGCTGAGGCACGAAAATGGTGTGAACCCAGGAGGTGGAGCTTGCAGTAAGCCGAGATAGCGCCACTGCACTCCAGCCTGGGCGACAGAGCGAGACTCCGTCTCAAACAAAAAAAAAAAAGAAAAGACAAAAAAACCAAAGAATCCATACCCACAAAAAAGCTCCTGGAACTATTGAGTGAGTTTAGCAAGGCCACAGATAAAAGGTGGATATACAAAAATCAAGCGATCTCTATATGCAATACATAACTAGAAAATGGAAATTTAAAAAACAGTACCATTTACAATACAACTCTCCAATGAAATTCTTACATATAAATCTTTTTTTTTTTTTTGACAGAGTCTAACTCTGTCGCCCAGACTGGAGTGCAGTGGTGCAATCTTGGCTCACGGCAACCTCCGCCTCCTGGATTCAAGTGACTCTCCTGACTCAGCCTCCTGAGTAGCTGGGACTACAGGTGTGTGCCACCACGCCTGGCTAATTTTTGTGTGTGTGTGTGTATATATATATATATATTTTTTTTTTTTTTTTTTAGTAGAGATGGGGTTTTGCCATGTTGGCCAGGTTGGTTTCAAACTCCTGACCTCAGGTGATCCACCCACCTTGGCCTACCAAAGTGCTGAGATTACAGGCATGAGCCACCGCGCCTGGCCTGAAATTCTTACACATAAATCTAACAAAATATATGCAGAATCTGTATGTTGAAGACTACAAAACCCTAATGAAAATCAAATACGATATATTTTTATATATGGATTAAAAGATGAGATATCAAGATGTGAAAATTGATCTACAGAATCAATGCGGTTTCAATAAAAATTCCAGCATGATTATAAATATCTACAAACTGACATTTAAATTTACTAGGAAAGGCAAAAGAAAAAGAATAGCCAAAACAATTTTGTAAAGGAACCAAGTTGGAGGATTCACGCTACTTGATTTAAAGACTTACCATAAAGCTACACAAGTCAAGACAGTGTAGGACTAGCGAAAAGGATGGACACATAAATCAATGGAGCAGAATAGAATCCAGAAATAAACCAACAAATACAATCAACTGATTTTTTTTCTCTTACAAACATGTTTCTAATAAATGGAAAACAGATCTGTCTTTCCAAAAGATGGTGTGAGACCCACTGGATATCCCGATGTGAAAAAAAAATGCACTACTTCTACCACACTGCACACCTTATACAAAAATAACCTCAAAATGCATCAAAGATCTAAACGAAAAGCCTAAAACCTTTAGAAGAAAATGTTGTGAACTGCTCTTAGCCATGACACCTCAAGCACAGTCCATGAAAGAAAAAACTGATATAGTGAACTTCATTAAAATTAAAAGCCTTTGTTATGCAAAAGACACTGTTAAGAAAGTAACAAGGCTAGTGTGGTAGCTCATGCCTCTAATCCCAACACTTTGGGAGGCCGAAGTGGGTGGACCGCTTGAGCTCAGGACTTCGAGACCAGCCTAGGCAACAGGGTGAAATCCTGTCTCTACCAAAAATACAAAAAATTAACAAGAAGTGTTGATGAGAGCCTGTAGTCCCAGCTACTCAGGAGGCTGAGGCTGGAAGACTGCTTGAGCCCGGGAGGTCAAGGTTGTAGTGAGCTGAGATGGTGCCACTGCACTCCAGCCTGGGCGACGACAGTGAGACCCTGTCTCCAAAAAAAAAAAAAAAAAAAAAAAGAAAAAGAAAATGACAAGCCAAGCCACAGCTGCGACAAGTTATTTGCAAATCACTTATCTAACAAAGAACTTGTTTCTAGAAAATACATATATATATTTTAAAAATCTCAGGATTCAACAATAAGAAAACAGACTGATAAAAAATGAGCACAAGAGCTGAACAGAAGCTTCAGCACCAAAGATCTACAGATGGGAAATAAGCACATGAAGAGATGCTCAACCCCACTCGCCATCAGGAAATGCAAATCAAAACCATGCTGAGATACCACTGCATACCTATCGGACTGGTTAAAATGAGGAAAAACTGACACTATCAAGTGCAGGTAGGGATGTGGAACTACTACTGATACTCTCATATATTGCTGGTGAGGATTCCAAAATGGTATAGCTTCTTTGAAAAACAGTTGGGCAATTTCTTAAACATTAAATATATACTTGCCAAATGACCCAGTCATTTTACTCTTATTTACCCAAGAGGAATGAAAACTTACATTCATACAAAAACCTGTATGCAAATGTTTACGGCAGCTTTATTCATAATTGCCAAAAGCTGGAAACCCAAATGTCTTTCAATGAGTGAATGGATAAACAAGCTATGGTATATCTAAACACTGGAATACTATTGGCCACGAAAAGAACAAACTATTGACACAACAAAATGATTGAATTGCAAATGTGTTATGCTAAATGAAAGCAGTCAGACTCGAAAGACTATACACTGCATGCTTCCATTTATAATGACATCCTAGAAAACGCAGAATTATGAACACAAAGAACACATCAGCTGTTGCCATGGTTAGGACCAGGGGGATGGGCAGCACGAGGGAACCTGGGGAGGTGACGGAGCTGTTCTGTATCATGAAATGTAGTGGTGGTTGCAGGACTGCAGTGGTAGCTGTCAAAACTCAGAACTGTACACCAAAAAGAGTGAATTTACTGTACCTAAGTTTAAAAATAAAATTTAAAAAATGAAACCTGAACTTTCCTTTAGAAATTATGAGTATAAGCCAGGCAATGGTGGCGTGCACCTATAATCCCAGCTACGTGGGAGGATCACTTGAGTCCAAGAGGTCAAGGCTGCAGTGAGCTATGATTGTGCCACTGCACTCCAGGCTGGGTGGCAGAGTGAGACCGTCTCCAAAAATAAATAAATAAATAAATAAATAAAATATAGATAGATAGTATTATGCACCTACATATCAAAAAACTTTTATTACCTAAAAAGTGGACTTGAACAGAACAATGAGTCTAGACACCATCATTGTACTAAAGCATTGCAAACTTTGCATTTACTAGCAGTAGATTAAGCAGAAACAAAGCCTTGTGCCTTGGAAAAAAGACAATTCACCTCCTGGCCGGAAAGCCAGTCTGGACCTGGGATACGATGAACTCCCCATTATGGCTAGGTGAGTTGTACCCAGAGTTCATTATCCTATCATTGGTTGAAATTTAGTGATCCTTATTTTATTCAAAAATTATTCTTGTGAAAATTTTTCTGACATAGCTGGTTTATCTCTAAGCTTATGACTTCAGATGTTATTTTATGCTTGGTAGAATTTTCAGACCAAGTTGCAAATAATTAGAAAAAAAGAGGAACTTTTATTTCCCTGTTTTCCATGAACCTTACTAAGGTTTTCACTAAGTATATGAATATGTCAGTTTGGTACCAGGAATAAAACTATATTCATTCAATATTATTTCCATAAAAAACAAAAATCTCTAAACAAATAAAGAAATGTTAACTGTACATTTTTTCATGAATTATCGAGTCCACAGGAATGTCATAGCATCACCTACTAAGCATTCCTTTTTCTTTTCTCCAGTAGTTGAGCGAGAGGGGAATTCTTACATAATAATGATCTGTGGGCATCCCAGGCAGGAGGCACACAAGTGAGGGGGAAATAGAGCCCTTCTGTGCTGTTCGGCTTCCTTGGCTCATATCCCAGTTAGTGAATCAAAGCTCAACTTTCTTCACACCGAGGGGCTGCTGCTTTCTTGCTTTTCTATGACTTTCTCCTCCCTGGCTGCATGCCGAACTTATTTTTTTTTAAACAAATCTTAGTATGGAAGGAGAACCGTGACTCTCTGAAGCTTTAAAAGAGCACTGAATTATCTGATTCAGAATAAACAATGTATTAAAATCTAAAAGATATGAGAATTTCTTACAAGCCTGAAATAGGCCATTAAGCCATGGATTTAAACACTGTGGAGCACACACTGTGCTAACCAAGTTGATAAAGGAGAGCACAAAATTCAAGGAAATAGACTATAATTTTATATGGCAGAACTGAAGTTTTCATGGAAAGAAATCTGTATTTTTTAAGAGAAAACTGTGATTGAAAGCAATAAGGATGACAAAAAGGAGGTACAGGGAGTGTCTGAACCGGGTTGAGGTACAGGGAGTGTCTGAACTGGGTTAGAAGCAGGGGTTCGGTCAGTGCCTCTGGGCAGAAGGCAGCAGCAGCCCACGGCCATCTGGCTGTCACTCCACCGCCCCAGCACCACGAGGGACCACTCAAGTGTCACCCAGGGGACTGGGGAGATGTGTTTATCTACCCAGTAGTGCAGCCCCATTTTCAATTTTGCTATGACAATTTGAAATTTTTGAAATGTGTTCCAAAAAAATCAAAATCAAAACTTCTTTTAAAACAAAAGTTTCCATCTCCACAAAACACTTCAGGGAAAAATAAACATAAAACAAAGTAAAATATAAAGTAATGTTTTAAGGAGAATAATTTACTCATTGTATGAATACTAATTCTAGGGAAAGATTAGTCAGTCCACATCTTAACAGAAACAGAGTAAGCTATGGGATCAGATTCGAATTCCTTTTTCAGCAATAGAGAGGGGAACCTGTTTAATGTCTGTGGATTTCCGTTTCCTCATCTATAAAGTGAAGATGAAAATGCCTATCTGTGAGGACAGATGAGAGGCACTCGGGAAGTGTCCAGGAACACGTGGGACAAACTCCACGGCAGTGCTGACATGTTTCCATCTGGCACTGCCACCTGGCTGTGAAGGGTCGCAGGCCCTCCCTGAACTGTTTCTCTCGACTCTTGCGAGTGCAGTGAGAATTCCACCGCCTCTTGTCTTCCCTGACCTTTGGGGAAAGAACCCTTCCTTCAGCCCTCCATGTTTCTTCTCCCTAGGTTCAGGTGAGCATCTCAGTGTCTCTTTTACATCTCTTACAGGCCTCTCTGGCTCTGACCTTTGAAGACCTCCTCTCACAATCCACTCCTTTCTATTTTCACTAGTTCATGTATGTGAACATTTTCTAGCAATATACTAAAACTCTGTCTAACCTTTAAGTCTGTTTCTTCACAACATTTATTTATTTATTTATTTATTTATTTATTTGAGACAGAGTCTCGCTCTGTCGCCTGGGCTGGAGTGCGGTGGCGCAATCTCGGCTCACCGCAACCTCTGCCTCCCGGGTTCATGCCATTCTCCTGCCTCAGCCTCCCTAGGAGCTGAGACTACAGGTGCACACCACCACACCGGGCTAATTTTTTAGTAGAGACAGGGTTACACCGTGTTAGCCTGGATGGTCTCGATCTCCTGACCTCGTGATCCGCCCGCCTCGGCCTCCCAAAGTGCTGGGATGCCACTGCACCTGGCACACAACCTTTATTTTAACACACACATGCTGAGTCCCTCAGTGACTACATAGAGTAGCAGAGTCTACCCTAGGCTGGAGATTAAAAACAAAAACAATTCCCTGACACAAAAACAAACCCTTTCTACCTGCATACTTACAAGGTGCCCTGCATACTTACAAGGTGCTCTAGTAACACTATGGGTTACTTACCAAAAGATTCTTGGGGCTGGGGGAGGGGAGGGAATGTGGCACTTAAAAAACAAGAGAAGGGAGAGGGTAATAATCAAAATAAATAGAAAATGGCACTTTTAAAAAACAAGAAAAGGGAGAGGGTAATAATCAAAATAAGTAGAAAACCTGGCAGCTTCTTCCTTCATTAACACTTAGTAGTTCTGTGGCTTCTCTGTCCAGTGCTCACTCATCTAATGAAATAATGCAGCTCATCTGCATAACCTGTTTGCATCATGTGGGTCATACATTTTTATTTCCATTTTAGGCTATTTGAATTATTTCTATTTTTTCAGGTGTCATTTTTCACATATTTTAAATGTACACATTTCTTTTGTAGAAAAGGTACAGCAATGAAGACAATGACTGCTGGAATTCCAGACACATACCAAAACCTGTGATTTGCACATTAAACGTTCTTGTGAGACGTTTAGGCAACTTCCAGATAGATGTACAACATGCAATGGTTCTCTCTTCATAGCTGTATTTAATTACTGTTTCCAACTCCTGCATCCTGCTGCTCTACAGGATGGAAAATGCCATCACTGACTTACAGGAAGATAATCTGACTGGAGTCTTTCTATTTGTCATCCTGGGTTTAGCATTACACACACTCACCTGTGACTTGTTTGTCTGGAAGAGAAGGGATTGGAATGGCTGACCCAAACTTAACCAGGAGACGCTCATATAACCAGTCAAAGTGCTTATACCTGTGGTTTACAGATCGATTAGTGTTCTACAAAATAAGGGAAAGAGAAAAGGTTACCAATGCCAACTCTAGAAAATGAAGAAAAAAGCAAGCTGCAATCAGTGATCCAAACATGATTCTGCTTTTGATAACGTGGATACTTACAGTAGGTGTTAGCTGATATTCGATGTAGCTCTTTAGACCATACATTTTGGAGCCTTTCCTGGGATCTGCTACCACACAGTCAAAAGTAGAGGTAGGATAAACCCACATTGGGCCATAATCTCCAACCTATGCCAATGTTCCAGAAAGAAGTAATTTTGTTACATGGAAAAATAATAAATACAATTGATGTGAATCAGCAAGTAATTCTTTTCAGAATGAGAAGTCCTTTGGAGGGTCATTCTTGTTCCTCTTTGAAAGGTACATAAATGGTTCAATGGTTTCTGTTCCTGTTAGATATTATGTTTAAAGAACACACCTGTGGGAAACCCTTCTGCTCCCACGTGAGTAGCTCAGCCCATGGAGAGGAGACACCAGCTTCCCTCTCCCAAGGACAGTGCTGGTTACAAGACAATGTTTCTTTCTAGTCTAGCTGTCTCAAGCTACACGTGATGAAGGACTAGTTTTTAAAAATTTCGAATCTATCACAGACTAATAGTTTGGTGAAATATAACATTACACATTTTGATTTTTCAACAATACCAAATTGTCCTCAAGTTTTCAAAATATTCTCATGTACTGTACCTATCTCACGGTGGATCAGGAACAAGCAGTTTTCAGATGGGCAAGTGGTCTGTGGACCATACTTTGAGTAGCATTGTTCTGGCTCATAGAAACGATTAATCAGATTGGCCAGAGCCTGATAGTCATTGTTTTACTACTAGTGGCAAGGTGGGGGGAGGGGGAGGTACTACATCTTAAAAGCAAGAACCAGGCTAGCTGTTTTCTTCCGTGGACTGCTATGTGCCTAAGCACAGTGGGCTGGCTCACTTCCAACCCCCGGGTATCACGTCCACCTGGGCAAGGCTTGCCTGAAGAGGGTAGGCCTCCATTCTTTTCTCACTGGCCTTCTCTTCTATCTGTGACTAGGGCAAAAGTTCACAAATTCAGGCGAGGCTTACACTAGCTCACTGGGGTTTTAGTTGTGGTGGGAGGTGAGGAAGGGAAACCAGCTAAATTCTATGTGGGGGTGTAGAGACCTCGTGTAAGTTTTGAGCCTGAGGATCATTTCTTCTAGGCACTGCTAGGTGACAATAGGTCTGCTGTCCCAAACCTGGTTTTTTCATCTTATTTAAAACAGCATCCAAGGCCATGGGGGCAGCTGCAGAGGAACCTGGATGCTGGAGCTCATGTACAGGCTTCTGGAATCACTACCTGAGTCACCAATAGTCTCAAGTTGGTTCTGCCTCATTCATTTCATAAACTTTGATCACAATGACAGATTCTAGAGGTTCAGACTGCAGGACAGTAGCTCTTATCAAAACACATTTCAGAGCAATAGAAGTCCTTATTATACTGAGAATGTTATCTATCTTCTTGGCTTGAAAATGAAAAATAATTGAGTTATAATCCAAGAAGAGAATGAAAAAACAAACACATGGACTGTAAAAGGACCACTATTCAGGAAGCAGATTCACTCAGAGATTCATTCAGAGATTCAAGGAGAATGAAATAATTTATGGAACAGGTTTTATTCTTGCAGACTTGAAAAAGTACCATAAGAAAGTAAAAAGAAAATGAGAAAAATCACACAGATTGCGCTGAAGGAAGAGAGATTTGTTTCGGCTGAGACCTCAGAGAGGCAAGGCCAGACAGACATAAAAAGGAAAAAAAGGTATACCCAGTCCTAATTTTTTTTTTTAAGAGGAAGATGGGAAAAGCGGATTGGGATATTAAAGTTCAGAGGCTGTTAGGTCAGGAAGGTGACCTACTCCAAGGATAAGAGTAGTTTAAAAAGAGACTAAAATCTCTGAGAACAATTACTATAACCCCCTCAGGGAGAGCCCAGATCCAAGAAACTAGCTGAAAGCTGCAGAGGAGATGACTTTCGGGACCTCCCTCAGTGAGTGGGCCGAGAGCAGCAACTGTGCTTGGCTAAGGCCCAATTTCACGGGGCTCTGTTTCATGAGTGGGCAAGGTTACTGCACTTTTAGAGCAAAGAGTTAGTCTCTGCTTTCTCTGGGCCTCCTGAAGACGCGGTGGCTTTCCTCAGCTTCTTCCATGTATAGACGCCCACACAGGCAGACCTGCCTACTGGGTGCATGGGTGCAGTTCTACTTAAAACTTGCCGGTCAATGAAAGGCTGGAACCCTTAGCTCTGTACCACCACTGCAAACCTGGGACAAAGTCCCCTTTAAGAATGTGAGGCAGGCCGGGCGCAGTGGCTCATACCTGTAATCCCAGCACTTTGGGAGGCCAATGTGGGCGGATCACAAGGTCAGGAGTTCAAGACCAGCCTGGCCAATATGGTGAAACCCCGTCTCTACTATAAAATACAAAAAAAATTAGCTAGGCGTGGTGGTGCATGCCTGTAATCCCAGCTACTCGGGAGGCTGAGGCAGGAGAATTGCTTGAACCCGGGAGGCAGAGGTTGCAGTGAGCCAAGATCACACCACTGCACTCCAGCCTGGGTGACAGAGTGAGACTCTGTCTTAAAAACAAACAAACAAACAAAAAAACAAAACTGAGGCAGAGCTGTGCGCTCTTGATTTTGAGGAGTTTTAAATGTCATGAAAAGAATAATGGTACATGTTCAATTTTTATTAAGTCCAGAGAAAACAGGAAAAAAAAATCTTTAATATAACTACTCAGAAGTTAATTATCCCAAATTTGCTTTGAGGGAAAAAGCATAAAAAGGGCTCTTGGTTACAGCTCTTCAGCTTGGAGGCTTCCAGGATTTGGAGTTTTTCAAACATGCAGGCACAAGTAATTAGAGAATCTAATACTATTCCTGCAATTTTATCAAGTTTCCAAAGACTACAGAATAAGACCAGATGTTTCCTCATCCTCGATTGAGTCCAGGATGAGAACACTCAAGGCTTCAGGTTCCCAATCTAATTGTTACAGGGTTAAGTCAATAGGATCAGAAGATAGCTACAGTTCTCTTTTCCAGAATTTCATTTGGGAATCTACAACTAAATATCACCTAGACAGAAAATCTACCACCAATCAAAATGTGGAATGAAACCGAAGGGCTTGTGTCACATTATGCAATAACCAAGTAATTCTAAGACAGATATTCTCAATGATGTCTTTAACTCCCAGCTTCCATTTGGTAGCTCCTTATCTCAATTTGACAGCTGGTTTACTGGAAAAAACACTATTACCAAAAACACTATTACCCATATATCTGAAAGGGTACCTTATTCTGATAACATACATGTACTTTACAAGGGAAGAAACATAAATATTTGAATTGAGTTCATCAGTTAAACATATAGGGCTGGCAGAAAAACTATGTAAAATACACTTCAAGACACTTTAGAAAAAAATGATCAAAATAGTATATTTGTTCAATACTAAAAGTCTGAAAGATAAAGAATAAACAATATAATGACAGGCATTAATTTGTGTTAATTATCTTCAGTACTCCTACAACACTAACATATATTATCAGTTATGTGGGGCATTAAATATATTTAAAAATACTTTCCAAAAGATGAATAACTCGCTTAGCTTTAAAGTACGGTATAAGAAAGAGCTTAATCAGAAAGAAAGCAAACAAAAATAAACAAACTTACAATGATGGGAATTTTCTCTTTGGGTTTTGCTAGTTGTTTGGCCAACAAATACTGTTCCGTGCCAGGTTTCGCAAATCCAGGAAATCTAATCATGAATATAAATGTTCATCAGTCTTAAGACTTTCCTTGTAAGAATTTTACAACTCTCGTCTACATTTACTTACCAGTTTTAACCTTGTCCTGTCTTTCGGGTGCACTAGAACTGGAAACTGTGGTAAATGAAACCTAATGTAATCAGATTGTTCAATGGCCAATTAGGCATTTAATTAAGCTTGATCTGGTAAACAGAACAGTTTGACTCCAGAAGGTGTGATGTTTACGGGCACTCTATTTGCTTGACTGTGTCTGAAACATTCGGTCACCCCAGAGTGAAGGGCAGACCTGAAAAAACGCCCCCCTAGTTCCCTGGGGCAGTGAGTAGTGAGCACGCCAATCTGAGTTGGCCACAGGGGGCAATAGCCACATGCTGGCATTTCTACATCCAAATTAAAGTTGCCTTTCAACAGGCTCTCTCCAGAGGCCACAACTGTCCCAAAGGGGCTGTCCTGCTCATCAGCATATGTGCTTGTTTCTTTTGGAATTGCCTTCAGAAGCAGTTCATGACAGCGGAAAACAAGTCTCTTTAGTAGAGACCCAAAGTGTAATCAATAAATTTGGCTATGGGGAGGGGGTGGGGGGGAGGTCACTTAAGACTCAAAAACTTAAATAAACTTGACTACTTCCAGAAATCACATCTATATCCAAAGGACATTTCTGAAATTAGAGGACAGCTAGAACATAGCCATCCAAAGGGCTACTGAAAAAGACAAGATTAATTTGGGTTTTAGAATTTTTCTTTTAGTAAACAGAAGAAAAGGAAGCAAAATATCTACAATGGGAAAAGGAATCTTATTTCTACGAAGTTCCAGTCGCATTGCTTCTACTTTCATTCATGTGCCAAGCCAAAGGCCAGTGTGATGCTCTCAGGGGCCCGTGTCTTCTTTTCCTGCATTCTCAGCTGACTTCCCTTGAGTCTCCTTTCTCTAGACATTCCTTTAAAACGCAGCTTACACAAGAGACCAGATGTGTCCTGCAGCTGGATGGCATGGGGTTTGAATTCTGACTCCAACACTTAGGTAGCCTTAGGGGCTGAAATCTCCTTGTGGAAGAATGAGACCAGAATGACCTACCTTCTAAGGTGATAAGGGAATTAAAGATTTATGTAAAGAACCTAGTATGTACTCAGTACATTTCAGTCATTGGCAACTAAGTCATCCTCTCTTTGGAAGTACTCCCTGCAGCCGCAGGTAGAGTCTTCCTAGGCATTTTGAGCATATTTTGTGATTCTATTCATCACACCTGACTGCCGCTATCCATTTACCTATTACAGCAGCCAGAGGGACTTAGAGGAAGCATTTGTGTTTTCAGGACCTGGAGGAGTTTTGGGAGCATACTGAATGCTTAATGAATTAGGCTAACCTGCAACACTTTTATTTATTAATTACTCTATTTTATTTATTTTTTTGAGACAGAGTCTCACTCTGTCGCCAGGCTGGAGTACAGTGGCGCGATCTCGGCTCACTGTAACCTCCACCTCCTGGTTCAAGCGATTATCCTGCCTCAGTCTCCCAAGTAGCTGGGACTACAGGTGCGCTTCTGTGGGGATTATATATCATGACAACTCCTTGACCAGCTTGTAAGCATTTCAATTTTTGGGCACTGTTATGGACCACAGAAAAATTTGAGGACAGCAATGTATTAATTATTTCAGCATCATCAAGATGCCTTTTATTTTTTTTTTGGAGACAGAGTCTCTGTGTCGCCCAAGCTGGAGTGCAGTGGTGCCATCTCGGCTCACTGCAACCTCCGTCTCCCGGGTTCAAGCGATTCTCCTGCCTGAGCCTTCCAAGTAGCTAGGATTACAGGCGTGCCACCACGCCCAGCTACTTTTTTATATTTTTGGTACAGATTGAGGTTTCACCATGTTGGCCAGGCTGGTCTCGAATTCCTGACCTCGTGATCTGCCTGCCTCGGCCTCCCAAAGTGCTAGGATTACAGACATGAGGCACTGCACCTGGCCCAAGGTGAATTCTTATAGTGCTCAAGTATATTTAATTTCAGATCTCTTTTTCTAGTATAAGATTTATGTTCCATGACTAGAATACAGCTGTCATATAAAATGGATTAATTGCTGAAAAAGTGTTAATACTTAAAAACATTTTTTATAATTGTTTTAAGTTTAAGTGACTCATTTATACAGTTTAGTTAAATACAAATACACAGGGTGTTAAATCGTTCACAGCACTACAGAGAGACAGAGATGCCTCAGAGGCACAGGTTCAAGTTAGGACTGCTTTAATGTGGTTTCAGCCTGGAATGATATTTTAGAGCAGAAAGAATTCTTAAAGCCAACCTCCTTGCTTTCGAGATGAAGAAACTGAGGTTCCAACAGGTCACGAAACTTGCCTTAAGGTTATAAGCAAATCAGAGAGCAAGTGTGGAGCAGAGGAGAGCACCAAAAACCAGAGTCAGAGACCCCCAGGCATGAGCTGGAACCTCACTCATCAGCCATGAAAACGTGGCCACTCATTTTTCTCAGTCTCTGCTTCCTTCGTTTTCAAAATGGGGCTAATTTATATGAATTTTCAATATACTTTATATTCACATTTAAAGAACAGCTGACAATGATGCACATCACTACTGACCATGACTGAAAACTTCAAATTTGACTCTGAAACAAGACACAGTTGACTAACAAGACAGAGAATTATTCACTTTATTATGCATGCAATTGAGCAGGAAAATATATAATGGAAGAAACTGGGTAAGAGGCAGCAAAAGTGTGCAGTCAAAAGAGAACTCATTTAATCACTGAAGCTATTTAAATATACTTTGGAGAACTTGTAGGACTTATTAAACTAGATCTAGACCTAGATCTTGATGTCTAAATATATGTCAAATGTTATGTTTTTAATTTTTCCAGACACAGATTAACATTCTTTGATATCTGCCTTGAATCATGGAATTGGAATATTGGGAAAAAGTATTAGTAATTTCAAAAAATAAACTAAACATAACTGCTGGAAGGAGTACTTGAAAATTCTGATGGAAGTCATAAATTACTAATATATCTCCTTCAAGCTACACTGGCATAGACTACAGCCTTATTTAGGTCTCTCCAAAGAATCCTACAGTGGTCACTGGTGCCCACATGCTTTCCTGTTAAGTAGGGTATCTACAAGTACTGTTAAAAACTTTTTTTTTTTGGCTAGGTGTGGTGGCTCAAGCCTGTAATCCCAGCACTTTGGGAGGTAGAGGCGGGCGGATCACTTGAGACCAGGAGCTTGAGACCAGCCTGGCCAACGTGGTAAAACCTCGTCTCTACTAAAAATACAAAAATTAGCTGGGCGCGGTGGCACATGTTTGTAATCCCAGCTACTCAGGTGGCTGAGGCACGAGAATTGCTTGAACCCGGGACGTTGGGGTTGCAGTGAACCAAGATCGCACCACTGCACTTCAGCCTGGGTGACAGAGCGAGACGCCTGTCTCAAAACAAAAAAATAAAACACAACACTTTTTTTTTTGTTTTAAATCTAAGAGAAACCTAAGCTAACACAAAGCTCCGGACCACGTTTTTAGGCACAGGAGCTGAAACACGTGCTTTGGCGCCTGAGGGCCTGGCTTCCTGACTGGAACACTCGATGCGTCTCTCTGGGCATCAGTTTGCCTGCAGTAAAACAGGGGTTTTATGTACCACAAAGGGATATGAGGGCTACATGCGAATGATACAAACCTCTCTGCACAATGCCTGGCACATGGCAAGTGATTAACAAAACAGTAAAACATTTAAAAGAGAGTTGTTATTATTATTCTTTTTAGCTTTCCTGTGACATTAGCAATGAAACCTTAATATGTCATAAATTGATAAAGCTAGAAGTAATGAAAACAGTTTGGGAAATCATTAAATAAAATAAATATTTCACTTATTAACCTTGTAAATCAAAAATCCTTTTTTTTTTTTAAGTAAGCTTCTCAGTTAAGATCCAAATAAAAATAACTGAATCATATCCAAAACTTAGGAGATCACTGGAAAGGGAAAAGGCCAGCTGCCTCTTGGTAGGGTATATACTTTGTATTAATGTATACTTCTACCACGGCCCTGGTTCCCTGGCTCCCCTTTAAACTTACTTGTTAAGGGGAATTTTCATGGATGAGGAACTAGCACGACTGTTTCCTCGCTGAGCGCCGCCTGCATCAGCTGACTCTGAATCCTTAAAGTAGGAAGAGGATTTGGGCCCATCCCAGTCTTCATCCCAGTCATCATCATCACCAGTTGCTAGAGGTGAAAATGGAAGATCATCAGTTAAAAAAAAAAAAAAGACCAAAATAAAAATGAAATTACTTAATTTTCTGACAGTAACTACCTACTGGGCAAATCAATTTTTTTTTGATGGAGAAAAGGGTATAGTATAGGAGTATAATATGGATGTTAAGAGTAAAGGCTGTGTAGTCAATTTTAAGCCTTGAATTACAGATTCTTTTAGTGCAAAAGACAAATCAGAAGCAACTTAAAGAGGGCTATCAGATTACTTTTAAATTTTTGACACGGGCACCGAGATGACACAGTGGAGAAAGGGCAGTCTCTTTAGTAAGTCGTGCTGGGAAAACCAGGTATCTACATGCAAAAGAATAAAACTGGACCTTGTCTTACACCACACACAAAAATCAACTTAAAATAGATTACAGACCTAAATGGAAGACCTGAAACCACACAACTCCTAGAAGGAAACACAGGGGAAAAGCTCCTTGGCGCTGGCCTTGGCAAATGTTTTTTTGAGTATTACACCAAAAGCACAGGGAACAAAGTCAAAAATAACAGGCGGGACTACATGGAACTAAAAAGCTTCTGAACAGCAAAGGAAACAATCAAAATGAAAAGGTAGCCTATGGGCTGGTGTAGGGAGACCCCCTGAAACTATTGCTATGGAATAAAAGATGAAATGCTCCTGATTATTGTAAATACAAAATTGCATGCAGGATTGTGTAAAGACAGTGCCAGGTGGGACTGCCAGAATGAGCCAACAGCATGTGATGTGCTTCCCCCTGCAGAGAGCCTATGAATGGATGTGCAGTCAGGGAGGTTTCACATCACCAAGATTCCTATCCCAGAAAAGCAGATATTCATAGCTCTGGGAATGGAAAGTGACCCTTGTAAAGAGCCTATAAACAGACACATGGGGGCACCGTCCATATGGATAAGATAGGGCTATAAACGCCCTCATCTTGCCAGGGCTCTTCTGGGCCTCTTTAGGGTTAAGGCATACTCCCTTCTGAGAATTTCTGGTCTAACAGGTTGTCTAGCTTCACGTCCTGTTTCTACGGATTGTTTGTAACCAGCTTTTGCTGCAACTGTTACTGCTGATTAATATCTTGCTAATCATAGGTTATGGAAAGACTGTGTTTCTGTTTTAAGGCTCTGTCAGAAATTACTGATGCATACACTATATTGTAAATTCTTATCTCTGTATACTGTACTTCTGCATACAGATGTTATGTTAAAGAATTACTTCATCCCCATGTGACCATCTCACCTCATAATCAAATGACCCTAAATCCCTCACTAACCTACCCCCGCCCTCACTAAACTTAATAATAAATGCTGGTATATCCAGTGCATTGTTGGCACTGCAGGACCAGAAGGCAGTGACCCCCCCGGACCCAGCTTTCGCTATCTTGTGTGTGTCTATTATTTCTCAACGGGCCGATCCGCCTGGGAACACAAAGAGAACCCCGTTGCATTGCGGGCTGCTGGCCAGATCCCGCAATAGGCTGGGAGAAAATATTTGCGAGCCATGTATCTGATAACCTGTTAATATTCAAAACATATAATGAACTCGCACAATTCAATAGCAAATAAAAAAAGCTCAATTAAAAAATGGACAAAGGACCCAAATTGACATTTTTCCAAAGAAGACCAAAAAATGGCCAAGAGGTATATGAAAATGCACTCAACATCACACACAAAGAAAAATACCACATGGATCTTATTTACATGTGGAACTTTTAACAGGTCTTTAAAAAAATCTAAAAAACTTATAGAAGCAGAAAGTAGAAAGGTGGTTACCAGGGGCAGGGAGACGGGGAACTAGGGAGATGCAGGTCAAAGGTACAAAGTTGCAGTCATGTAGGATAAGTCTAGAGATCTCATGTACAGCATGAGGACTACAGTTAATGATATTGCATTATATTTGGGAAACCTGCTGAGGGAGATTTTAGGTGCTCTTACCACACACACACCCACAGGCACGCACTTGCACATATACACGCGCACACACACACACTTAGGTAATCATGTGAGGTGAGGGATATGTTAAGCGCTTGGCTGTAGTAATGATTTCAGTATATACATGTATATTACAACATCACGCTGTATACCTCAAATATAGATAATTTTTTTTTTGAGACGGAGCCTCGCTTTGTTGGCCAGGCTGGAGTGCAGTGGCGCAATCTTGGCTCCCTGCAAGCTCCGCCTCCTGGGTTCAGGCCATTCTCCTGCCTCAGCTTCCCGAGTAGCTGGGACTACAGGCGCCTGCCACCACACCCGGCTAATTTTTTTTCTATTTTTAGTAGAGATGGGGTTTCACCGTGTTAGCCAGGATGGCCTTGATCTCCTGACCTTGTGATCCGCCTGCCTCGGCCTCCCAAACTGCTGGGATTACAGGCGTGAAAATATAGATAATTTTTTTAAAGGGCTGTCAGTCCACATCACTTCAGATAAATGCAGACTGTAAGAATGTTAAGTGGTACACAGTAGAAAAGACTTCTAGAGGCCTAGACACTGATAAATCTAGTCTTATACATTTACAAATAAGCAGAATACCCTTTAATTCTAGAGGCTTGGGGAGGACGAAAGGGACGACAGAACTTTGAAAAGCAGCTGTTTAACACTAACAATAAAGGGGAGAGAAGGGCAACGAGGGGGACATTAAAAAGACCGAGTTGGGGTGTGGGAGAAAAAGATGAGAGTGAAGAAGTAATTAAGCAGCATCAGTAGCTACTATTCTGACAATAATCCCCGTGTCAGATAAGGTGCTGTGGGCTCTCCTCCTTCTCCTTCCTCCCCTGTGGGCTCTCCTCCTTCTCCTTCCTCCCCTGTGGGCTCTCCTCCTTCTCCTTCCTCCCCTACTCTAACGGCCTGAGTGTCCTTTAGTGTCAGGTCCTAAGAGTGCCATTATGGAGAAGCCGAGAGACAAATGCCAAATGGGAGAAGAACAAACTATGAGAAGGATGTGGGCCAAGTGACCAGAGAGCCAGACCCCAGGAGTCTCCCAACGCTTCTACCCAGCCCACACCCCTGGTCCTGCTGACAGGCAGCTCCTGTCTATGACTGCCAGCCTTCAGCCGGGACCTGCACCCTGCTTTGGGCTTACAAGTGAGGTCCTTGCTGTTTAGAACAGACATTCAATTCTTGGCCCAATGTGCTTACAGAGGAGACAGGGTTCAGGAATTGTTAAAAAATAATGGGAGACTACCTTCTTATTTAATTTCAGATCAGACATAAATACCCTTAATTCCCAAATTATTTCCCATTCCACACATTTCTCTTCTGCCTCAGTATTTCTATTCATAGCCTAGTCAAACAGGAAGTTAAAACAGTGAATGCAGAGGTCTTAAACCAGCAGGATGAGCCACATCCCATCCACATACACGTTTCTGGCTCAAGATTTTAAAACAAACGTGTTAGCTGCTGAGATGTTAAAATCAGAAGGTGACAAATAACCAAGACTTCTCATCTCTCTGAAGATGTGGAGATCAGAACGTGGGCTCAGCTTCCCTGCAAATGCAGTGATCCACGGGCGACAGCAGGGGCCCTCAGCCTTCTGCAGCCTCCACCGCCCATTCTGCTTTTACTTTACCAACCCAGCGTTTGAATCTGTGACTTCACACAGATAAGTAAGACTGAACTAAAGTTAGAGTTAATGACCATCTACAATTGAATCCAGGTTTGCTACTAGTGAATAAGGGCAACTGCAAGCAGTTCTTTTGAATAAAATCTATTTTCAACTCAATGACCCAGAGTGGTATTGTGAGGTAAGAAATAGCCATCTGGTCTGCGTCCCTAGTTCCCGGCACAGAGCTCCTAAAACTCTTGTAACTTCCTGAATGTTAGGTGTGCAAGGTGTATCTTTTGTTCTGATATTTGGTCTCTGACCCTGGCTCCTGACACAGATCTCCTAACCCTTGGAATTTCCCGGGTGGTAGGAGCATCTTTTGTTCAAATGAGGTGACTCCTGGTGGGATGGGGGCTGGTCAACAGAAGGACCAAGCCAGGATTAGAAGCTTGGAACTTCCAGCTCCACCTCCCATTCTCTGGAAAGAAAAGTGGGGCCAGAGGTTGAGTTAATAATCAATCATGCCGGCCAGGCATGGTGGCTCACACCTGTAATCCCAGCACTTTGGGAGGCTGAGGCAGGTGGATCACCTGAGGTCAGGAGTTTGAGACCAGCCTGGCCAACATGGTGAAACCTTGCCTCTAATAAAAATACAAAAAATCAGCCGGGTGTGGCGGTGGGCGGTGGGCTCCTGTAATTCCAGCTACTCAGGAGGCTGAGGTGAGAGAATCACTTGAACCTGGGAGGCGGAGGTTGCAGTGAGCCGAGATTGTGCCACTGCACTCCAGCCTGGGCAACGAGAGCAAAACTCTGTCTCAAAGAATAATAATAACAATAATCGATCATGCCTATGTGATGAAACCGCCGTAAAAATCCTTGAGCTACAGGAAAAGAGATTCTGGGGTGCTGAACATGTAGGGGCACCTGGGGCAGGGGGGCATGGAAGCTCTGCGTCCCTTCCCCATGCCTCGCCCTATGCATCTCTTCATCTGGCTCTTTATTTGCATCCTGTAAATTGAGCTTTGTAATAAACTGACAGTAGTAAGTAAAGTGTTTCCCTGAGTTCTGTGAGCCGCTCCAGCAGATTAATTGAACCCAAGGTGGGAGTGGTGGGAACCCCCTTGATCTGACTCCAGGTAGACAGTGTCATGACTGTAGGACACTCAGCTGGTGTCTGCTGCACAGCTGCTTGGTGGGTGGGGCAATCCTCCCTTCCCATGCTGTGGTCACAAAACTGTTCTGTGTTGTGCTGAGTGTGGGAACAGCAAAAACAGTTCGGTCTTCCCTGTCTCTCCCACTCAGCCATGGGCGGGCAGGGTGGGACCTTGCACCCCTCTCCTCACCTGGTCCTTGGTAGGCCTGGGGGTGGCCGAAGGCAGTGTCCCAGTTGTTGGGAGTGTTTGTGTTTCTTTGGGCTCCAGCCCCCTCTGGCTGGGCCCCCCAGCCTTCTGAGCTTTCCCAGTTCCCAGATTTGGAGGCACTCCAGGCTGACCAGGGGTCATTGCCACTGCCAACCTATTGAGAGGGGTAAAAAGAAGGAGAATTTTTGTGACTTTTGGAAACCATGACTCAATTCAATAATGAACTGACACAATTGAATACAACAGGAGTACTAAAAACAATTAATAGAAATGTATTCAAAACAATTTTACATACATAATATTTTAATTTCCAAACATGTAGGAAAGCACAAAAGGTAGCATCAATCTAATTTTACTGATGTGAACACATTTTACCGTATTTGCTTAGGAACTTTGAAAACAGCAACAAAGAAACTATTAGATGCAGCTACAGCCCTCTCTTTCTTTCTCTCCAGAAGTAACCACTACTTTTCTGAACCTGTATCCATTCCTATGTGTGTTTTCATACTTCAGCTGCACATGTACACATTCACAAACAACTGCTTTATATTTTTAAAATTGACCTAAAGGATGTCATACTGTATGTATCTCTTTGCAAGTTTTCTTTTTCCCACTCAACATGAGGACCTATTTCTAACTGCTTTATAGCGATCTGTTGTATTTTTAAGTAGGCTTTTTAATTTGAAATGGAATACATGTATAATAAAAAAAATTCAAACAATAAAAGTATATGCAATTTGAGAAATACGCCTAACATCCTGAGATGCTAGTCATTCTAAGGAACTACTACTGTCAAAAGACACAAAATTACAACAAATTCAGTTACAGATCGACTTGGCCTTTACTTGAGATTCATGAATCTGGGCAGCCTCCTTCCTACAATCTAGAACGAGCACTCCCACTGGGCATTAACAGAACACTTGGTTTTTAAGGATGGGTTAATAAGGAAATAGAACAACAGAAAAAAAGTTGATGGTTAACATCAGTTTACTTCAGGTTACTTTTTCGTAAGGGTTAAAGCAGAGGGGACTCCTTATTATGCTAACTCAGGTAGACTGGGATCTCCTGTTCTCGAGAAAAAATCAGTTTGTTTTGGGACCTATCTGCTTCCTTCAAGTTTCAGTTTGACTATGGAGCATCTAGCACAAGGAACTCCATTCTGGTTTGGCCTGGTCTGCTGGGGCCTAGTGCAGGAACTCTGAAACAATGGCCTACTATAATTTTTGTTTCATGCTACTAACAAATTCCTTGTATATACTTACTCAAACATCCCATGGACAGAGATAGATCCTTTTTGTTTTTAAACACTAAGTTGGCCTAAATTGTATTATTTTTGCTCGGTACTTTTTTTTTTTCTCTTAACAGCATAAAACATTCTGCAAGGTACATCAGCACATATGGACACAATATTCTTTCACATTGTCTCCATAAAATTCCATTGTATATATTTCCTACAACTTGACCAGTATATGCTGATGTTCATTTATCTTGTTTTCAGTCTTTGGGTACTATAATACCATGTGATCGGACAGACCAAAACAGACACTGCTTTATCAACTAAGATGGATCCTAAGGTTAAGGGAATAGAGCAACTTTTTAAATTACTAGGGCTCTAAACTCACTAAGAACAGGACCTATCAGACCCCTCCTAACTCTGATTTACAACCCAGACCAAGACAACTCTGACTGGGCAGAGGACTGGCCTTAGAAACATTTTCTTCTGACAAGCAACTGCAGGCCTTAAAGCCAGTTTCAGCAGCTCGCTGAGGCTGTGCACAAACTGTGTCCCACAGTTCACCTTTTCACATAAAGAGCCCAATTCCACCTCATTTTAATGCTAAAATCTCACCTCAAAGTCAACAAGGATGGATGTTACATATGTTTACCTACTGCACATGCTCTTGACTCCTCTCATACATACGTATCGCTTTGCCCCCAAACTCCTAAATATATGTGACTCTAGTGTGATACAGGCCCTGTGAGGCATAAAACCCAATGTGTCCCTTCATCTTCAGCACACACCAGAGAAGGTCTCTTCCCAGTCTGTAAAATGTTACTGCCTATAAACCTCTCCTTTCTATTAATCAGCCATCCTGGTGGTTCTTTAGATGAAAACTGCAATCCAAAAGGTCTCTGAAATTTCCAGAAGAAAAAATGCTAGGCTTAAGGAGACTGTGTATTTAGAACCGATGGATTTTGTCAAATTGCTTTTGAAAGAGAATGCAATAACATTCCCACATTCTGACAACTGTCACGCTGAGGGGTTTTGTCTTACATAGAAAGGGACTTTCATACTTCTTTTTAAAAAGTATTTCTCTCCCATAATTCCTTTGAGTAATTTAATAGTTTAATTATTAATCTTACAAATAAACTTTTGGAATGGGAAATAGATGGCACCCAATCTCAAAGAATATTCCAGTAGAGAGTACACTTAGCACCTATTAGCCCTGCCCCCACCATCCCACCCTTGAGGCAAATACAGTTTTTTGTTAGCTTTTTTTTTTTTTTTTTTTTTAACATTTAAATCTTGTATCTGTCTGGAACTGAGTTAAGTAAAACAAATAATATAGGGGCCGGGCACAGTGGCTCATGCCTATAATCCTACCACTTTCGGAGGCCGAGGCGGGAGGATCACCTGAGGTCAGGAGTTTGAGATCAGCCTGGCCAACACGGTGAAACCCCATCTCTACTAAAAATACAAAAATTAGTCAGGTGTAGTGGTGGGCGCCTGTAATCCCAGCTACTTGGGAGGCTGAGGCAGGAGAATTGCTTGAATCCAGGAGGCGGAGATTGCAATGAGCTGAGATCACGCCACTGCACTCCAGACTGGGCGACACAGAGAGACTCTGTCTCAAAAAAAAAAAAAAAAAAAAAGAAAAGAAAAGCGAAAAGAAAAAGAAATGATACAGGGATCCAGCTGAACATCTTGTCCTCAGTCGGTCACCCTAATACCATTTCATGAACAATCCATCTTTCCCCCATGATTTGAAATGCCGCCTTCATCACATATCAGATTTGGGTCTATAGCTGGACTCTCTTGTTTCTTAGTGATCTATTTGTACTAGTACCACACTTTCATAGAAAAACCATCAATACTTTAGCATAACATCTCTTAGCTGTTTATTTTTATGTATAAACTTTAGCATCAGCTTAATATTTAAACTAAAACAATCTGAACTTTCACATTAGAATGTTGAGTTAAAATACTGATTTTCATTTGAATCACTGTTTACTGAATTCATAGAAAATTGATTAAAATTATTCATGCCTTTCACTCCACAATATTTCAGTACTGAATCTATTTCATAACATGAAATAGCAAGTCTTCCCCTTTATTTGAGTCTTATACACACACACACACACACACACACAAATGGTGCTAGTTAAAAAAAGAAAAAAATATAATTGCAAGAAAATTACCCACCCTGTCTAATATAGCCCCTAATGTTGTAGGACAGACACCCTAGTGGCTGGTCTGTTTTGACTCTTCACCAACCGACACATGGGGCAGACAGCTGGCTGTCACGTGCCAGGTGCATCAAAAACAGACTACATGCTTTTGATGTGCAAGTATGATGTCATTCTACTGCCCTATATACCTCTAAGGAAAAAACTGAAGTTACTTGTTATTTTACTCTATGTCAAATACTAACAGGAGAAAGATGTTTCATCCACAAGACTGTGACTTCTCAAACACACAGCTTTACAAGGTGACATTCGGCTTCGGGATGGACTCTCAGATGACCCCAGTGGACGCTGGAAATGAAGGCAATCATGCTGAGGGCCTGGCAGTCACACTTCAGCTAAGAGAAACCCTTCCTTCTACAGTTTTCTTTAAGGAAATGTAGTTTTATTCTCCTATTTAGCAATATATTCCGTGTCCTCCAAACTCTAAGTTACAAGTTTTTTCAAATAAGAACTTGAAAAAGTACCAAAGTTTGGGACACTAGGGACAGACTATCATTGGTACAGCAGCCTCAGCCTGGTTTCCATCAAGGACCGGCTGTGAAATGGAGGGGCTCGGAGGGCCACAGTCAAGAGCCTAGTGAGTTGGAATTCCGTTAACAGCTCTACCTCTCTTCCGCTGTGTAACCTCGGGCTAGAGTTCAGAAGTGAGTGGTCTGGATTCAGAAGACTGCCAGAAGCTAAGTGAGGTACATCACAAAGGAACACAGGACTGTGAGCTAGAACAGGAGAGTGAATGTTCGCTGGGGCCTTCCAGAAGACAGTTCAGTCTTAGCAAACTGGCCAGGAAGGATTTTCATCAAGATGGAGGAAAAACCTGGAGGTGAACTATTCATAGCAAGTGTCCTCAAAAAATTAAAATCCATTTAATTAGGGCAAAAACAAATAATTGTTCTTTGAAAATCACTTGGTCAATAATTTGTAGGTGTGTAGTAACTGTCATACTAGTTGGTTATGTATGTGATCTTAGCTCTCCACCTAAGTTATGAAATCTTTGTGGTTATGTTTGTTTCTATCTCTTTGGTTTTGTTTTTTTTTTTCCTGGAACGCTCTCTTTATCTTGTTTCAACCCAACTCCTGCTGATAACACATTTCTCAAAACCCTACCAACTGGAGATCTTTCCTGCAGCTTCCGTCACGGCCCTCGGACTCAGTCCCTCAGCAGATGGCCTTTTACTGCCCTGGCAGGTCCCTTCCCCTCTTAACTGTAACCAATCACTGGCTTTCTCTCTGAACCCATCCTTCCCATACGTCGATCTCTGCCTTCTTCACTCTCAACTCCCAAATCCCCTTGGTAGTTCCCTAACTACAGACACCTCGTCACGGTAAAACCTATTCAGCTCCTGGGCTGAGGTTTCCATCCTGTGGCGCCTCTCTGTCCTTTCCTTCCACCTTTCCCTCCTCTTCCTTTCTACTGAGCAGCATCTTCATCCTCTTTCTCTTCCCACTCCTTATTTTGCAAAGCTCTTAACTGTCCATCATGGGTAATTAAAATCCCTTCATTAGCACTCACTGCCCCTAGAGTCACCTCCAAGCTTCCTGTGGCTCAATCAGGAGTTTCTTCAGCACAGGTCTCAACTTTGCCTCGTGCTGCATTCCCCATTCTCCCTACCTGCCACTAACCTTCACTCTGAAGCTTCAAACTTCACACATTTCCCCAAACTTTTCTACATCTCTGCTGTTCCTCACACTATACTGTACTCTTATCTGCACACCTCATCTTCCTCAATTTAGCAAAGCCCTACCCCATCAGAAGGGCTCTGGCCTTCCCACAGCCTGCTGGCTGACATCCAGCCGCCTCCTTTCACTTTCTTCATTATTTGCAAATCAGATGGTCAGTCCCACCAGTGAATCACGGGGACAGCTCTGTCTTACCCGGAGAATGTTTCCCCCAAAAGATTCTCCAAATGCCTTGCATAAAGTGGCAAGGACTCAAATATTTTAAATGTGATGTTCTTGATCATTTGTATGAAATATATCTTACTCTTTGTCAGACCTCTAACCTTCATGACATGATCACCAAAAGGAGGAAATCAGATTTGCCTTATGTATACTAAGACTATGTATACTAAGACTTTGCCTTATGTATAAAAAGACTAAATTGAGTCTTTTTGAAAAAATTAACTTGTTGTGGTCGATCACAGAATAAGTGATTTTCAGCATGTGACTACAGAAAAAATGATTTTTGGCCAGGCGCAGCGGTTCACACTTGTAATCCCAACATTTTGGGAGGCTGAGGCAGGAGGATCACTTGAGGTCAGGAGTTTGAGACCAGCCTAGCCAACATGGTGAAACCCCATCTCTATTAAAAATACAAAAAGCCGGGTGTGGTGGCAGGAGCCTATAATCCCAGCTACTTGGGAGGCTGAAGCAGGAGAATCGCTTGAACCTGGAAGGCGGAGGTTGCAGTGAGCCGAGTTCACACCACTACACTCCAGCCTGGGTGACAGAGTGAGACTCTGTCTCAAAAAAAAAAAAAAAAAAAAAAGAGAAAGAAAAAAGAATTTTTAGCATGTGACACTATGAGTACCCTTAAAATAACAGTGTCTGAGTTCTGAAAGTGGATGATACAGACAGGCACAGGAGATGGAGGAATGGGCAAATATGAGAGAAAGCAAGAGCAGTAAAATGGGAATGGTAAAATCTAGAAGGTGGGTATATGATTATTCACTATGAAATTCGTTTAACTCTTCTATGCTTGAAATTTTAACAAACATTGGAAAATGCAACAAACAAAATCGACATATACAATCACTCTCGTCTGAGCTCCATTAGAAGGACACAGAGAAGGGCTGTGTCCATCAGGGTAACCTGCCATCTCCTGCTGCCCGTGAACGTGGGGCCCTGGGTAAACGCTTTGTAAATTAAGTATCTGTTGAATGAATACACTCCTACAGCATGTCTGGTTGGGTCTCTGGGACACGCTTAAATCTATGTAATCACCACAGGTAGATGATTATGTCCGACTCTCTTCCTAACTCCCACCCCAGCTAAATCAAATGCCCCTTTAGGCCCAGGAGCAATATACTAACAATTTGCTGGTTTAACGTTCTAAATTTAAAAGCTATCCTCTCCTCATAATGCAAATAGAGAAATATATTTATGCAGGCTTGACATTGGGAGACTTATTTAAACACATTCACTCAAAGGATTTACAGCATTAGCTAAATTTCTTCAGAAAGTAGACTGGCTTGTACCTGACTGCAGAGCCACTGGACCACAGAACAGACTGAGAATGGCCACGAGGGGTGGGGGAGACGGACACGCACACCCATGGTGGTGCTGTGTGGTGAGTGTAGGAAAGCTGCACATGGTACAAATATACAATATGGGATAAAAAGGGGCAAGACGAATCCTGGTACACTAGGTGGAGTTTAACTCCCTTTAGGAAGCTATTGGAATTGACTCAAGTAATCATTATACCACATGGGGATAGTGGTTAAGAACTTAGGCTCAAAGCCTGCTATCTGGGTTTGAATCCCAGCTTTATCACTTACCACTAGCTGTGTGGCCTTGGGTAATTTACTTAGCTCTCTTAGTCCCCACACTTATACAATGGCTATAACATTATCCTCCTGTAAGGATTAAATGACATAATGCATACAAAGCATCTAGCCCACAGTATGCATTCAGTAGAGGTTATCTTAATATGTGAGGGCTCATCTAAAATATAAAGAAAAGAATAAAGACTAGCATTTCTTTGAGTAAATCCCCATCTAAGTAACATACCTATTAGCTTATGCTATGCAGGAAAAGACCAGACAGTTATATTTACAAATAGCTGCACAGCCAGGTCATATTAATAGAGACTTTTAATTGAAGAGATAACAGGCTTAAGATATTTTCTATTCCAGCCAACGTTCTGTTACCTTCAGATACATAAAAGAGGAAGAAGACAGAAATATTTTTACTGTAAAGGTCAACAACAGCAACTCCTAATTCTTGGGACTTTCAGCACAAATATTTTCTGTTGCTAAATGCTGAGATCTTGACTTTTTTCAAAACCTAAGCTTTACTGTAACAAACTAGACTACAATGATCTGGTTGAAGGATCCTTTGGTGTCTTTTTTTTTTTTTTTTTTTTTGAGACAGGGTCTTGCTCTGTCACCCAGGCTGGAGTACAGTGGTGTGATCTCGGCTCACTGCAACCTCTGCCTCCCAGGTTTAAGCAATTCTCCTGCCTCAGCCTCCCAAGTAGCTAGGATTACAGGGGTGCACCACCACACCCAGCTAATTTTTGTATTTTTAGTAGAGATGGGGTTTCACCATGTTGGCCAGGCTGGTCTCGAACTCCTGACCTCAGGTAATCTGCCTGCCTCCGCCTCCCAAAGTGCTGGGATTACAGGCGTGAGCCACTGCGCCTGATGTCTCTGACATTTTTGTTCTCCATCCCCACAACCCCTTTGGTCTCTCAACTGCAGACATTTGGTCATGCAATAATCCCCTCGGCTCCTTCACTCAGGTTTCCAATGCTGAGATGCCTCTTCGTTTCTTTCCTTACACCTCCCCTTCCTCTTGAATTTTTACAGGACAATGTCTTCATTCTCCTCTTCTTTTCCCTCTCTCCGTGGTACCACACTCCTCCTCACAGTCAACCACAGAGTTAAAGACCTTTCATTAGATCTCACTGCCCGTGGGATGAATTCAGTAATCAAGCCTCCTCTAAGAGGCCTCCACGGTGTAAATCCTCACGATCTTCCCAGTTCCTACATATTCCACATCCCACATCACCATGCCCCAAGAAGAGCTCCTGTAAGATACTTTACCTGACATAATCACTTCACTTGGGAAAAAAAGATGACTTTTAGGGTTTATTAAATGTTTATTTCCTCTTGTGTTCAAGTTTGAAATTTACCTTATATATGGAAGAAGGAGAAGGAGAAGGAGAAGAAGGTGGTGACTGGCTGAGACTTTCGACACAACCAATCTGAGCCAAAATATCCACCTTAAAATAAAAAAGGTGCCCAGTGAACAAGAGTGAAAAAGCAGGTCAAAGTTTTTAACTAAAACCAGCACATTCATGGCAGGACCAAATTCTCCAGAAAACTCTAGCATGCCACTCACTCACAAACATTACATGCAAAAAGCCCCAACTGTGTAGCAATGGGTTATCTTCAATGCATTATATTTTCTAAAGTCTGTTGTTTGGCATCATGATACAGTATTAATGAAACCCTAAAAATAACTATAAGCAGCACAGAAAGAATGGATTAAGTATCATGCAAGTCATACAGCCAGAGAAACAAACTCCAGAGGAAAAAACAGAAATAGCCAAGTTAAAAAAAATGTTAATATTCTGAACCTTTTGCTTTCAGAGGCATTAGACATGTATGTGAGAGAGTCCAGACAAAATCAGCAAAGCCACCTGGTCAACTTGAAGCTAACCACAGAGCCACAGTGAGTCCTACCAATCGCAGCTGTGAATGACACAACAGCCCAGCTGGTCTGTGAACACAATGTCTCCCGGTGTGTGCTCTTAGGGTCTAACTGGCCTACAATACAGCATCTTGTGAGAAGAGGTAACTGACTGATGCGCTTCCAAGAAGCCAATTGATGGGTAAACTGCAGCAGATGTGTTAAGAGGACCATTCTGGAGCCCAGCTTCCAGGCTTCAAATCCCGGTTCCACAACTGTCCTGTAGGGAAGTCAGTACTACAAACATTTATATAGTGGACGACAGCATCCTTTTCAGGCGCAACTCTCCTGTGAAATAAGCGGTGGTATTATTCTCACCTGAGAGATGAAAATAAACTTGGAGTTGAAAATCAGTTAATACGCAAAGCAGACAACAAAGATGGAGTAACAGGGACCCAGTTTATGCTCCCAATGAAAACAAAAAATATGATGAAATATAGGAAACCGTGTTCAAATCACTGGACACCAGACAGTGAAGAAGTGATCCTGAGATACGGGAGACAGACAGAGTAAGCCCACAAGTGCCCATTCACTGCGTGGAGAGACTCTCCAGGACACGGAGCAGGCATGGAAAACCCACACAAAGCTCGGCGGTCTCTGTGGTGGGAGGATACAGAGTCTGGGGAAGACAGAGACGCAGAGAGAGAGCTCTGGAGACTGCAGAGGACACTGCAGATCTGCACTGATCAGCCCATCACGTGAGGGGTCTACCCAAGGTCAGGGAAAGACACACACGGAAGAATCAAGAGTGAATCAAGAGTGCAACCCCTCACACAGGGCTATTCCCACCAGCCTAGATGGAAAACTTCATGATTCACGGGGCATCGGGTACAATACTACAAAGGATTTGTTTCAGGAAAGGGGCAAAAATATCCCTAAGCTAAATGTTGCTCTGGGCTTAAAAATAAAACCTGAAATAATCAGATTATTTCAAAGTAACTTAGGTGCATCCCAGAACAAGGCTCAAAAATGTTTATGGGAATGCAAAAATATCCAGCATATAGCAAGGTGAAAATTGCAATGTCTGACATCCACTCATAATTTATCAGACATGAAAAGAAGCAAGGAAAATATGACCCATAATGAAGAGAAAGATTAAGCTGATACAGTACTGACAGAGATGAAAGACTTAGCACTATTTAAGAGCAAGAGAGGTTTCAAATATTAATGAGGTAGAAGACTCAGCTTGAATGGGCTTCCAAAAGGTGATAACTTTAAGCACAAAGAAAAAAAAAACAAAACACATTATGAAATCAATGTAAATCCATACATCCATGCTACTGTCAGAAAAAAAGACAGGAATGCTTTCTTCATTGGTCACTATTTGTAGTAGCTATAAAATAACTTCTTACTTTGAAACATGGCAATTAAGGAGAGGTGGAATTAGCCATCTATCCTGAATTCCAAATTGGAATTCGACATAATTAACTAGCTCCAGCTGATACAGGAAAGTGCTGCTTTCTAGATGAAACCAGCTAAGCGTGGAAGGAATAACATTTCTGATTCTGGCAAGGATTACCAACTGGTGGTAAACCATTACCATTTATATACAATTTATATCTGTATGTTTGTGTGTATACCCACGTTCACAGAGAGAAAATAAGACACCTAGTGTAAAGAGTAGTGATTGTGGAAATGGGATACTTTTCTTTTTCTAGTCTGAATTTTCTACAATGCATATGTACTGCTTCTGTAACAATAAAATAAAAGGTTACTTTACTAATTGTTTTTAAAGACAGTAATAATGCTAATTAGCAACTGCTGACCACAAAAATAGTAGTTTCTGGTTTTGTTATTTTTTTTTTATGTTGTATTCTTGCTCCTCATATGACATCCTTGGGGAACTGGGACCAGTAAGAAATAAACCCCTACTTCTGACAACAAAAAAATGCAGTAAGCAGGGCAAGCGCTTGTTTGGATGACATGGTTAGACCTGACTCAGTTCACTGGTTTCCTAGTAAGCAGCTAAGACATGGCCCAAGAGGAAGAGTTCTCACTGCACAGACCATGAGAACAGCAACTGTGGCGTGGCAGAGATGAGCAATGGCACCACGACGTCTGTCTGTCTCCATCGTAACTACATCAGGCCTCGAAGGAGGGCTAGGTTTAAGAATTAATGAAAATGGTAACATATTTAATTAAAGCTGCTTTCCGTTTGGCTTTCTACCAAACATGTACAAAGGGTCTATGAAAGCTCAAAACATACTGTGAGTGGTCGCAGCTCTTATGGGCCACCTAATTCCTTCCAGCAGACACCAAACGTCCACTTCAGGTCAGTACAGATCATCCCATCTGGTAAGTCCACCAGTTAAGAGGAGTTCCCAATCGCAGGCTAACTACTTTCTATGTTATTATCTTGGGATGGGGCCCTGTAGGCATTCAGGGGTCCGCCTATCACCACATAAGGAACTCCTCACTGTGCCTGTCACATCCTTCCACACCACCTGTGATGATGTCATCTGGCCTATCATGCCACGGCCCATCTTACGACTATACCACGTGCAACTGTGTTAGGAAGTAGGAATAGAAAGCAAATAATATCTGATTCTTAAACCAGAGAACATCTAAACCAGAATTTCTGACAAAAATTTAACTCTTTTCCTCAAAAGGGACTGAAGAGGTTATAATATTCTCTTATATAAAAAAATCTAACCACTTTAGCTCAAAATACGGAAGAATTTGACAAGTTTCCTGTTTTGTTCTTTACAGATCTTTGGCTCAAAGGACATGACCTAATTCTACAGATGAATCTGTACTGACGTTAGAAAACCACTGGTGGAACATAAAACTTGTACATTCTTCTAAAAATGAAGGTAGATCACAGCAGACTCAATCTATTTATAGCCAGTCATATCAACATTACTGATTGGGAATTACCAAAAGAGGTGAAATTATTTAACAAATCCTTTGTTAAGTCATATTCTGAACCTACAGATGTCAATTTCAGGTGTTTATTTTTTAAATAAAGATAATTAAAACACTAAAAATTTACTTAAGGTAAATGGATAATGTTTGTATTAGCTTAGAGAGTCTACTTACTCAGATAGCTCAAAGTCCTAAAATAGGTAGCTTTGAGTACAGAATAGGATGGCGCTACAATCAGCAAATAATTTGCTTCCAGACAGACCTAAGAGAAGTCCATGTGAAATAAGCTTTTACACTGTGCTGATGACAGGATGTACGTATAACAATGCTGGCTGGTCCTTCATCACTGCAGTTTTAAGGTTAAAAAAAAAGACTTTGCTTTAATAGTTTGTTTCCAGTTAGACAAAACAAACAAAAACCACCCTATATAACAAACTTCACCAGCATGTATTTTTGAAAGGTTCCTGAGATGAACAAAGCTGTCTCATAGATGTCAGGGATCTGTGAAAAAGCACACAAGGTTAGTAATGACAGCCTCATGCAGTTCTGAAGGCAAATGTCCATAAATCCTCTAACACTGGTATATGATCTTCCTTAAAAAGCCCTATTACCAACTAAAAAGAATTCATACGGGGGGGTGGGAGTGAGAGTGAAGAGATGGAAAGAACCTTTTCAATAAAGTTCTGTAAAGAGAAAGTCTCAATAAGCAATTACGAGATGTCTAAGGCATTATAAGACTTATGTGAGTTAATGAAGGTATAAGCACATCTAATACTGAACCTTTGTGAGGGTTTCTTTTATCAATTTATTTTTAAATGGACTACCAAAAAAGGCCTAAAATGGCCTAAAAATAGACTTTTGAGAACTAAGAAAGCAAAATGTAGTTCCAACATAAAATTACCATTGCCTTCCTCATCCTATAACCAATAAAAATTCCTTTGCAACAAATATAATTACATGGAAAATCTCTGTAGAGAAAAATGTTATATCCTTAAATACCACTTAACTTCAAGCATTTGTTTAATATCCAAACTGTTTTAAAAAAATAACAATGCCAGAGAATTTTCTGTAAGAGAATCTTCCCATTTTTGATTGGGTAGCCCGTCAGATGGGAGAATAACAGGCCAGTGATGGACAGCTCCTAGGCCTGTGGTCGGTGTTAAGAACACAAACTTCTCCAAGGCAGGGATTCAGGAAATCTGTAAGTCTTTTAATACCTTACATTGTAAAGTACCTTTTGATGTATTTATAACTGAAAAAAAATTATTCAAACAAGAACAGAGTATTATGGTACAAAGTCTCTTATAGGTCACTGGGAATAGAAAAAAAGATAAATTCTTTGCTTATCAAGCTTAACAATTTACAAATAAGCAATATAATTTGTATAAGAGTCACAAATTGTGCTAAGGGAATCCAGAGAAGTAAAACAGAAAACAAAAGGTTTTATAGAAGACATGGTATTTGAGCTGAACCTGAAGAGATGGGCTTCTGAAAGATGGAAGGAGTCACTCTGTTATTCTCAGAAGAGCAAGCCAAAGGTACAAATAAAAGGTGAGACAGCATGGGACATATTTGGAGAATCATCAGTTTGCCTGGAGACAAATACATAACTTAAAGATAAGGTGATGATGGGTAGCCACACTGAGGCATCACAGAAATAGAACTGAGCTTGGAAAAGTACTTCAACCTCAAATTCAGATGAATTTCTTCTACAGTTTCCCTACCATGAACCGTTCAGCGTCTGCTTGCCTAACTCTGATACACAAAGACCTTCTCCTGGGATAGCCCTGCTGACATGTAGCAAATGATTATTCCAGAAGGCAATAGAGGAGACTCTGAAGTTTCTTAAACAAGGAGATGACATAAAAGCATACGTCAGCAATGCTGAGGGTTTGGTTCCAGTCCATCACGTTAAAGTGAGTCATGTGGACTTTTTTGGTCCCCCAGTGTACATAACAGTTATGGTTACACTATACCGTATAAGTGTGCGAGAGCATTATGTATAAAAAATACATATCTTAATTAAAAATACTTTATTGCTAAAAATCGCTAACGATCATCTGAGCCTTCCACTAGTCAAGCTGCACCCTTTTTGCTGGGGTGGCGGGGGGGTCTTGTTTTGATGTTCATGACTGCTGACTGATCAGGGTGGTGGTTGCTGAAGGTTGGGGTGGCTGTGGCAACTTCTTAAAACAAGACAATGAAGTCTGCCATGTCAATTGACTCTTCCTTTCATGAAAGATTTCTCTGTAGCATGTGATGCTGTTTGATAGCATTTTGCCCACAGTAGAACTTCTTTCAAAACTGGAATCAATTCTCTCAAATCCTGCTGCTATTTTATCTACTAAGTTTATGGAATATTCTAAATCATTTGTTGTCAACAATGTTCATAGCATCCTCACCACGAATAGATTCCATCTCAGGAAACCACTTTCTTTGCTCATCCATAAGAAGCAACTCCTCATCTGTTCAAGTTTTATCATGAGGTTGAAGAAATTCAGTCACATCTTCAGGCTCCACTTCTAATTCTAGTTCTCTTAGTATTTCTACCACATCTGCAGTTACTTCCTTCATGAACATCTTCTATGAGGGTTGGAATCTACTTCTTCCAAACTCCTGTTAATGTTGACATTTTGACCTTCTTCCATGAATCATGAATGTTCTTCATGGCATCCAGAACGATGAATCCTTTTCAGAAGGTTTTCGATGTACTTTGCCCAGATCCATCAGAGGAATCACTATTTATGGCAGCCATAGCCTTGCGAAATGTATTTCTTATAGGACTTAGAAGTCAAAATTACTCCTCGATCCAAGGGCTGTAGAATAAGTGCTGTATTAGCAGGCATGAAAACATCAATCTTCATGTACATCTCCATCAGCGCTCTTAGGTGACCAGGGGCATTGTCAATGAGCAGTAATATTTTGAAAGAAATCTTTTTTTCTCAGCAGTTGGTCTCAACAGTGGGCTTGAAATATTCAGTAAATCATATTGCAAACAGATGTGCTGTCATCCAGGCTTGGCTATTCAATTTACAGAAGACAGGCAGAGTAGATTCCGCATAATTCTAAGGACCCTTAGGATTTTCAGAATGGTAAACGAGCACTGGTTTCAACATAAAGTTACCAGCCGCATTAGCCCCTTAAAGAGAGTCAGCCTGTTCTTTGAAACTTTGAAGCAGGCACTGGCTTCCCCTCTCCAGCTGTGCAAGTCCTAGATGGCATCTTCTTCCAATAATAGAAGGCTGTTTCATCTGCTCTGAAAATCTGTTTAGTGCAGCACCATCATCAATAATCTTTGCTAGATCTTCTGGATAATGTATTGCAGCTTCCACAGCAGCACCTGCTGCTTCACCGTGCACTTTTATATTATGAAGACAGCTTCTTTCCTTAAGCCTCATGAACCAACTTCTGCTAGCTTCAAACTTTTCTTCTGCAGCTTCCTCACCTCTCTCAGCCTTCACAGAATTGAAGATAGTTAAGACCTTGCTCTGCATTAGGCTTTGGCTTAAGGGAATGTTGTGGCCTGTTTGATCTTCTACCCAGACCACTCAAACCTTCTCCTTATCAGCAATAAGGCTATTTCACTTTCTTATCATTCAAGTGTTCACTGGACTACTACTTTTAATTTCCTTCAAGAACTTTTCCTTTGCAGTCACAACTTGGCTAAGTGTTTGGCTCAAGAGGACCTGGCTTTTGGCCTGCTTCAGCTTTTGACAAGCCTTCCTCACTAAGCTTAATAATTTCTAGCTCTTGATTTAAAGTGAGAGAAATGCGACTCTTCCTTTCACTGAAACACTTAGAGGCCACTGCAGGGTTAATAATTGGTTAACTGAAATACGGTTGTGTCTCAGAGAATAGGGAGGTCCAAGGAGAGGGAGAAAGACGAGGGTATGGCTGGCGGGTAGAACAGGCGGAACACATAAAACATGTCAATTAAGCTCGCCATTGTGGTGCCTCAAAACAATTACAATAGTAACATCAAAGATCACTCATCATGAATCATCAAAACAGATATAATAATGATGAAAAAGTATGAAACATTGCAAGAATTAACAAAACGTGAAACAGAGACACCAAGTGAGTACATGCTGTTGACAAAATGGCGCCCATAGACTTGCTCAATGCAGGGGGTGCCAAAAACTTTCAATCTGTAAATAATGCATTATCTGTCAAGTGCAATAAAGCAAAGGGCAATAAATGAAGTGTGCCTGTCCTTAATGTCTTGTTTTAGAAGCAGTGGTATATGAGATAACTATAATTAACAATTATTAAACCACTACTAAGTACCATGTACTCTTCTAAATACTTTAGAACTCTTTTTTCATTTACTTTTTCCAAAAATCCCATGAGGTTTTACAGATGAGGCACAGAGATGCTAAGCAGCTTACCCTGATTCACATAGGATGTGTGAGATCTGGGATTAAAACCTAGACAGTCTGGCTCCTAAACTCACTGCCTTGACACCAAGCTAGGTTGCCTCTTAAGGAGGAGAGAAAAGACAGGAAATCTGTTAGAACAATGGATCTCAATCAGTTCCCTCTTTCCACATCTCAAGGATGCAGAGCACGCCTCTCAATAACTGTGGCTCACGATGGCACTCGGTTAGGGTTTTAAAGCAGAATAAAAAGAGGGCACAGAAAGAAGTAACATTTCAGAGAAACAGAAACAGGAAAGTCAGGAAGAGAAACTAGTTTTGTGGGGAAATAAGTGATTCGGTTGAAGATGAATTTCAGATACAAAGGAGACATGCTGATAGAACTGTTCAACAAAAAGCTAGAAATTGGGCAAATCAAAGAGAAAATTCAAGATTAGAGAGACACTTTATAAGGGAATCTACACGATTAGAGAGGGTAGAATAGTGAGAGAGGCTGGAACACAAAAGGGTAAGTGGATTGAAGACCCCCTTTTAAAGGAGGGAAGAAGTGGGAAAAGAAGGAAAATATTTATGAAATATCTTCCATGTGTCCGGCACTACTTTATATTGGTGGCCTAATCCACTGACTATTCAGGAGGTTCAGGAGGCAGGTCTTATGCCAAAGCCACAATTCTTACACAGTGGAGCCGCACTGGCAAGCCTGGATCTAACAGCAAAGCTTACATGCTTCCCACCACACCACTCACCTGGGGACTGGCGGGGTGTGAAACAGAAAAACAGAGAGATGCCAGGGAGAGCATGTGACAGAGGCCAGAAGGGCTCTCAGCAAAACAAAAGCAGCTTTATTCCAAGTATACACATCTTTCTAGTATTTGAAGGAGACAGAAAACAAACCTCTCAAGTAGAAAACCTTCAGATAAGACATCTAGGTTTACAGAACTTTTAAGTAGCTTTTAAACCTCATTGTTCTCATTCTTTAGAAAGGTACAAACAAAAACTTTCTATTAATTTCTCAAAAGTAAGTACTCTAAAGAAGCAGTAATCTGAGAGTTTAAGATCTATACTGAAACCTTTTCAGAATCACAGCAGTGATGTAATCTAAACAACAATAACTGATGAAAAACAAGACTAGCACACACAGGAGTAGAGATTTTTAACAATTGAGATTCATTCCCATCAGCTGGTCCATTCATTCTAGTGGTTCAGCCACTAACGTGAAATACTCTTGAAACTGTGAAATAACCGATAAGTAACTAATAATGAAACTAATATTAACCACTAAAAACTATGCTTTCTTTTCAAAGGTAATAAAATGGTTGTCCTTATCTGGGTAATATAAAATCTGTATTTGAATAAGAAAATGAAGAGAGTTTGATTCAGTTCCTGGGTATCCTTCAATACATTTTCTACACACTTTGCATCTATGGTGTGTGTGTATGTGTGTGCACTGAAACACAAGAAAGATAACATTACCCATACTGAGGTGCCTTTTAAAAAAATCATACCTCTATCTGTACATCTAAATCTACCCTCACTCTCCCTAAGGGAAGCTCAGCTTTCCACTGCGTGGCTGCCTATAGTTCATCTGATCAGTCCCCTGCTGACAGACATTTACATTCCGGTTTTCTGCTGTTACAAACAATGCCGTAGGAAACGTTCTTGCCCAGAAACCTGCGTTCTGCGAGCAGATCTGCAGGAGGAACTCAGAACCGCTGGGCCTTAGAGATATGCATTGTAAATACTCATATACATTACCGAACCAGCCCCGAAAAGCTTCATCACTTTATCCTTTCCCTCGCTTTGTATGACATTGCCTGTCTGACCACACCTGTATGACACTAGCTTTTAAACTGTTTTCATTCTCTGCTAGTTTGATAGAAGAATCTTAAAATGAGCATTTTCCCAAGTATATTAACTATTAGTACCTTCCCCCACCAAAGGACAGCCTGTTTATACACTTTACCTATTTTTCTGAATTCTTCATCTTTTTCTTACAGATTAGCAAGAGTGTATGTATATGAATGGAATTAGCCTGTATCCGTCATAAGTCAGAAGTATTTTTGCTAATTTAATATTACTTGTTTACTTAAATGTATCAATTATATCCTTAATGGCCACTAGACTTTGTGCTGTCAGTCTCAGAAAGGGCTTCCATAGGCCGGATGCAATTGGGAGGCTGAAGTGGGCGGATCACAAGGTCAGGAGTTTGAGACCAGCCTGGCCAATATGGTGAAACCCCATCTCTACCAAAAATACAAAAATTACCTGGGCGTAGTGGCGGGCACCTGTAGTCCCAGCTACTCAGGAGATTGACGCAGGAGAATCATTTGAACCCAGGAGGAGGCAGAGGTTGCAGTGAGCTGACATCACGCCACTGCACTCCAGCCTGAGCGACTGAGCGAGACTCCGTCTCAAAAAAAAAAAAAAAATGGTGGGCTTCCATATTCCAAGATCATAAAAAAAATGCTGTCTATTATTTTCTCCAAGTAGTTTAATAAACAGCTTTATAATTTTCCAAATCAAACTGTTTCAGTCCATTTAAAGAACAACTCATCATATTCCTTTCACACTGACAATTCTAGTCTAAACTGCAGCCAAGCTGAACTGCGTTTTGGCTGATAAAGCGTTTTCTCACCACCAAAAGAGGAAAGCAATCACAGTGGGCCAGGGACCTGGATGCAGCAACACTGCCTTGACACCAGCAACTCTGCTCACCTGAGACTACTCAGTAAGAATCTAGAACCAAAGGGTCCCCCAAGCAACCTGAAATTAGGAGTTTTAAGAAAAACCAAAAGAAAGTGCTATCTTACATAGTAGGTTATACATTTATGAACTAGTTACTCTGAAATGCAGCACAGATTAAGAATACAAAGTCAAGGAAAGAGTAGCAGGCTCGAAATAAGTTATTCAAAGAGATCTTTAAAAAGATATACTTAAAGAAAAATACGACACTCAGGAAGTTGGATAACCAACTGAATGTGGGGCTTCAACTTGCTTGTGTGGGAGGAGAGTCAAATTTAAACTTACTGATGCTAAGATGAGTAAAGAGACACTGGCTCAGAAGTTGGCAGAGTGTGCCAAGCTGAAGAGATGCATGCCTGAGAGGGGATGTGCCCATGGGCCTGATGGACAGGAGAGAGGCCCAGCTTCTCTGAGGTTCCCGCTCTCAAAACAAAACCGACCCTGGGAGAGAGCACAGGCAATCAGAGCCTCCCAAGCAGCTCACCTCAGAGCACACATCTTCCTACCCGCATTCAGAAAATGAAAGCAATGGGCAAACCTGATAGGAAAATGTTTAAAAAGCTACCAATTAATGGTCATCTGGTTTCCTACTCGTGACATCTTTCATGGTATTTACAAAATGTACCCAAATTTTGGCCTACTTAAATTGTTCTCATATCCCAGATAACAGAGGGCAGAGATAGCAGTTAAAATATTTTTACTTGATTTACATTAAATTCAAATGCTCAAATTAATGACGGCTATGCTTTCTGCATTTTGTTAATTCTAGTTTCAGTTCATTTTTCTTTGCTTTCAAAGGATCTGATTAGATTCAATGTTAGACTAGATGCCCCCCCCGCTTTTTTTTTCTTTTATTACCTTCTAAATAACCTAAACGAAACAAATTTTAGACTTATACCAGTTTATATTAAACTACAAGTAAATACCAAGGAATATATTTCCTAACAGAACATGACTTAAATCTGAGTTTTAATTTCTTTTCATTAGCTAAACTGCCTCCACCTATCTTGAGATAATAGCTGGTCAGTCCCTAGAATTAAAATAAGATAAATATTTCTATTTTTTGTTTGCCTCACTTATTCTATGATCTCATTACCTCATTACAATTCTTTTATTAAAATCTTGTCCTTTATTAATGCAAACCCATTTCATGGGTGCTTCTGTATAACTCAGTGAATCTCAACTGGCTTGGCTTTGCTCCTAGGCAACACTTGGCTATATCTGGAGACATTTTTGGTTGTCACAACTGAGGTGGCGTGCATGTGACTGGCACCTGGTAGGTAGAAGCTAGGAAGGCTGCTCAATATCCTGCAGTGCCCAGGATGGGCCCGCCCCACTAGGAAAGGGCGCGGGGCCTCAAACGGCAATGAGGCTCAGGTTGAGAACCCCTGGGAAAACTTCCAGTGAGGTATAACTACTATTCACGTTTCACAGTGAGTAACCCTTACCTGGCCAATGTTCTCAAGTAGTATAGAATAATAAAATACAGAAGAGAATTCTTCAATTACAGTGATCAATCACCTTGCCTGCAAATTTTAAATATCTGAGTCTAATTTGTAATTCAGAATGTCTACAAAAAGCTGTTTTGAAATGTATAAAACCTGCAGTTAGTATATGGTGATAAACTTATATAAACTCACTTGGAAGGTCAATTGACAGATATTCTTTTTCTTTTGAGGAGTCTCACTCGCCCAGGCTGGAGTACAGTGGCACGATCTCGGCTTACTGCAGTGGCCGCCTCCCAGTTCAAGTCATTCTCCTGCTTCAGCCCCCCGAGCAGCTTGGATTACAGGTGCCTGCCACCACACCTAGCTAATTTTTGTATTTTTAGTAGAGATGGGGTTTCACCATGTTGGCCAGGATGGTCTCAAACTCCTGAACTCAGGTGATCCGCCCGCCTCGGCCTCCCAAAGTGCTGGTGGGATTACAGGCGTGAGCCACTGTGCCTGGCTAATAAACAGATATTTTATAAGCAAATACTTGTAAGTGATATGATTATCATCAGGCCTGATAGAATTTAAAACCTTTTATGTAGTTAAAAAAAAAATCAAGAAATAACATCTCCTAAAGCCCATTCATTTCTAAAGATGTAAGCAGTTAACAATATTTTAATTCTTTTTTTTTAACTTTTTTTTTAACGTGTGGAGATGGGGTTTCATCGTGTTGCCCAGGCTTGTCTCGAACTCCAGCACTCAAGCAATCCACCTGCCTTGGCCTCCCAAAGTGCTGGGATTACAGGCGTGAGCTACTGTGCCCAGCAGCAACAATATTTTGATACCTGTCTTCTCAATTTTCTTCTTGTCACTTACTCTGTGTCATCATTTGGCAATAAATGAACTAGACAAATTCACCTAAACTAGTCAAATTTTAATTAAAATTAATGTAAAATTTCCTTGTATTCTTCTCAAGTTATCCCACTATTCTAAGTTTCCTGGAAGCAATACAATAAGAGTACCAAGTGCTGAGTGCCTGGATCTGGTAGACTTTCACAGGCACTGCTTCTACTCGCAGGATGAGGGCCTCTAGCTCTGAGAGTGTAAGCAACATGCCAGGGCCAGGGCATCTATTTCCTGATCCAGGCCGAGGCTCTGACACTGACCTCCTCAACAACAAGAGCCTCCTCTTCTTCCTCTTCTTTCCATGCCTTTATCTAAGAGGGTATTTGCAGTTTCTGGGGTCTGTGTTCATATCATGACAGACTTCTAAAAGCAACCCTCAATACCCTGCCTTTTCTCTTATAATAAATTTTGCAAACAGTCATTATCAGGCTTAACAGGTGATTTCTTTGTTAGTACCCAACAGAAATGCCACAGAACAACCTAAAAGCGACTTTGTTTTTGCTTTTGGGGAATGGCAATAGCTATAATGCATCACAAGCCTTCACAAATACGCTCTGTTTTCCGTAAAGCCAGCCACATCCAGAAGGAGGAAGTGAGACGTACCTGGTGATTGTTGCTGGCAGCCGACGAACTGGCCTGAGCTGTGCTGGCTGAGAGAGAATCAAGGAAGGCTTGGTCAGCCACTGAATTTCCACAAGAAAATTGATCTTTTCCATCACTGGGTAAAATCTGAATAGGAGAAAGAGCCGCAATTATTTTCATAGATTACGGTCACTTCAGGGAGTCTTCGAGGGCAAGCAAGAATTGTCAAAAAGGGTTTATATTCTTCAATGCTACAAATTTCTCTGTAAGCACTGCTTTTGCCGCATACTCATATTTTAATGGGTTGTATTTTCATTTTTATTTAGTTCAAACTATTTTTTAATTTCTCGAGATTTCTTCTTTGATCCATGCATTATTTAGAAGTGGATTGTTCAATCTCTAAGTATTTACAGATTTTCCATCTATCTTTCTGTTTTGATTTCTAGTGTGATTCCATTGTGGTCTCAGGGCAGACACTGTATGATTTCTTTCAAACATGTTGAGGTATGTTTTATGGCTCAGAATATGTGGTCTGTCTTAGAGAATGTTCCATGTAAGCTTGAAAAGAATGTGTATGCTGCTGTGGTTTGATGAAGCAGTCTATAGATGTCCCTAAGTGGACATCAATTTATTGATGGTGCTGAGTTCAACCACGTCCTTACTGATTTTCTGCCTGCAGGATCTATTTCTAATAGAGGGGGTTTTATATTCTTAAAGGTAAGCAAACCCAAGAATATCTGTAATCACTATTCCTTTATATAAGCAGAATCCTAGAAAATCCAATTACTGCCAATATCAACTTAAATTCTCAGATTTTTCTCAATCTTGTCAATTTGTGGGCTCCTGGATGCAAAGTGCATACAAGTAAAACAAGACTTCAACATAAGACCTACGGAGTGAGGCCAGGGGCCTGTGAATAGGGGGTTGCAGTTGTATGGAAAAGGCTGTGGTGTGTGCATGGGCACACGTTTCTGAGGGAAAGCCTAGAGATTGCATCGGATTCTCTGAGGGGTCATGACTCCCCACCCTCACTGTCTATCAACAACAGAAGGACGGCCTTAGATCTCACTCTGCAGACAGGTCCCAGGTAAACATCCTCTGGGGGGAATTCTTTTCTCCTGGAGGTGAACCAAAGGTACCTTTATTCTTGATCTAGCTCCAGTTGTACTCACAGGGCATCAGGAAACCTTCGCTTCTTTCTGTCACCCAACATGAAAGACAAGCTTACCAAGAACCTTCGCTCGGTTTGGAGGGACCGAAAGACAACCAGCAGGGGGCGCCAGGTGGTTGGCTCAGCTTGGGGGTGTCCCAGGCAGGACCAGCCCAGGCTGCTGTGTTGCTCTCCTGGGTATCCATCCTAACAGCTCTACCCAGGAGATCCCCACAGCAGCTCCCCCAAGACACCCCTCTGTCTATGGGAATGGGAGAAGGAACTGAGATATGCACTTAAAAAAATCTATTTAAACTGTGAGTCTATTGTACAATAAACAATATTATAGATGGCAGCAATATCAGCAAAGGAAAAATACGTTATATGTGTCATATTATAAATATATATCTATATTTATAATTTATATAATTTATAATACATTTTATAAAATTTATATATTTTGCTTATAAAAATATAAATATATATTTAAAATGTATATATTAACAGATATATTGAGATATAATTTCATATATCTTATTGAATTTATACAATTTATAATATATATTTATAATATAGATAATATTAGCAAAGGAAAAATACTAACTTTTATTCAGACCAATTAAAAGTTGCTATCCCTGGAAGAAACTTAACCTAAATATCTGTAGTCATTCTTTGAAGCTTGGGTCTACAGGTAATATTTTTCTTAGTTCTATTTCAATGTAGTTTCCATATTTTATATAGTTAACATTTATTATATTTACAATGGAAATTTTGTTTTGCAAAAAGTTGCTGACTTCTTGTAAGTTGATAATTCATAAAAAGATGCCTGGCAAAGATGAGCTCTAATGAATGAATGACAGGAAGCTCTTACTTCAACGTAGTCTGTGGGAACCAGCCCTCGTTCTCCTTTGATGTTTCTTCCTTCCAGCCATCCTCCACCTACATCCTAATAAGTCACCAAAAAAAAAAAAAAAAGAAAAAGATTACAGTTGAGATTTCCTGGAGAAATTTTGTGTGGAGGAATTGTTATACATAAAAAAAGCAATTAACATTAAGCTTTTCATTCCTAGAGAACACCGTTCAAAATCTTAAATTCTTAAGCCTTCTCTTTACTTCAGAAAATGATGTAACCTAAAAACAAGAAAAATCAAACTTCAATAATAAGTGATCAAAGATTGAAAACAGCTGATGATTAGATGACCCTCATCTTGTCTGTGTACTGGTCTGCGGCAGATAATAAAAGTGGCTTGCAGCTCTGAATGTGAAGCGGTGGGATGCGCATCCCAGGCCTGGAATCTGCCCTCTGCCACCTCGCTGGTCAACAGAATCAAGTGGAAATCCTCCAGGGAATCCAGAACCTTGCCTCAAGGGCTTCTGCACACTTCAGCTGACTCTTCTGGCACCCAAGTCGCTATACGAATTAATGTGGGTTGCTAGATGATGACAGAGACCCAGTCTCCCTGTTGCCCCATTCAAAGCCAGCCAACCCAGAGAACTGGCAGACTCATGAGTGAGGCTACCTTAGACCAGTCAGTCCCCAGCAGGGTCCAGTGATTGCAGACACACGCAGTGCAGCTCAGGAGAACCATCAAGCTGACTTGTAGATTCCTAAGCAGTAACAAATGGTTACTGGGTTAAACTAGTAAGTTTTAGGATTGTTATGCAGAAAAAGTGAACTGATCCATGGTTCCTCAGTTCTTCTGGATAAATAATATTAATAAACTAAGTAATAAAGTAGAACTCTATATCCCAGTATTGCCATTTCAATCTATGATCAAAGGAAAAATTGTAACTTTTATTCAGAATAGAAGTTGCTATCCTTGGAAGAAACTTTATCTAAATATTAAACTATTAATGTTGATATTATTATTAATTATTAACAATGTTAAGGGGCAGGTCCCACTTTCTCATCTTAACATAGTAAGAGTTTTTACAGTTTTAAAATAATGCCCTAATTAGTTAATAATCTGAATCTGAATAATCACATTCTCTTAAAAAATCACTTTAAGCCACAACTTTTGTCACTTTCTGACCACAATAGCAACTTGAGGACAAGTTGCTATTTTACCAAGAAAAATTAAATACTTCAATAAAGAAATTAGATGAGGCTGGGTACAGTGGCTCACACCTGTAATCCCAGCTACTCGGGAGGCTGGGGCATGAGAATTGCTTAAACCCAGAAGGCAGAGGTTACAGTGAGCCAAGATCACACCACCTCACTCCAGCCTGGGTGACAGGGTGAGAGCCTGTCTGCAAAAAAAAAAAAAAAAAAAAGGTAAGACTGAAGAATCTTTAATCTCTGCTATGATTAAAACTGAATCTATTTAACTTATACACATCTAGCATTTTTAAAAATTTTTAAAAATTATTATTATACTTTAAGTTCTAGGGTACATGTGCACAACGTGCAGGTTTGTTACATAGGTATACATGTGCCATGTTGGTGTGCTGCACCCATTAACTTGTCATTTACATTAGGTATTTCTCCTAATGCTATCCCTCCCCCCTCCTCCCACCCGACGACAGGCCCTGGTGTGCGACGTTCCCCGCCCTGTGTCCAAGTGTTCTCATTGTTCAATTCCCACCTATGAATGAGAACATGCACACCTAGCATATTATACAAAATTACTACATAATCTTTTTCTACCCAGTGATTTTCTTTTTTTTGAGACACTGTCTCATTTTGTCTCCCAAGCTGACATGCAGTGGCACCATCTTGGCTCACTGCAGCCTGGAACTCCTGGGCTCAAGTGACCCTCCCACCTCAGTCTCCCAAGTAGCTGGGATTACAGGCACGCACTACCACACCCGGCTAAATTTTTGTATTTTTTGTAGAGATGAGGTTTTGCCATGTTACTAAGGCTGGTCTTGAACTGCTGAGCTCAAAGCGATCCCCCTGCCTCGGCCTCCAAAAGTGCTGGGATTACAAGTGTAAGCCACTGCACCTGGCCGATTCTTTTTTCAATCCAAGACATATAAAGTACGTTTTCTAAATATGCTCACTATTCAAAAACTACCATCACTTCTGCCGTTCCTCATTCTCCCTCCTCGATCTTGGCACTGCCACAGTTCTCACTCTCTCCTTCCACAGGAGCTCTGTGTGAGCATGCGAGTGTGCGTGTGCATGACAGCAGGTGAGTGTGTCTGAGGGGTGTGTGCGTGCTTGCACGGGTGAGTGCTGCATCTGTGTGAGAGCAGGAGAGTGTGGGTATGTGTGAGAGCAGGTGAGAGTGTCTGAGGGGTGTGTGTGCTTGCACGGGTGAGTGCATATATGTGTGAGAGCAGGTGAGTGTCTGAGGGGTGTGCATGCTTGCACAGGTGAGTGCATGTATGTATGAGAGCAGGTGAGACTATCTGCAGGGTGTATGTGCTTGCACAGGTGAGTGCTGCATCTGTGTGAGAGCAGGAGAGTGTGGGTATGTGTGAGGGCAGGTGAGAGTGTCTGAGGGGTGTGTGTGCTTGCACGGGTGAGTGCATATATGTGTGAGAGCAGGTGAGAGTGTCTGAGGGGTGTGCGTGCTTGCACAGGTGAGTGCATGTATGTGTGAGAGCAGGTGAGACTATCTGCAGGGTGTATGTGCTTGCACGGGTGAGTGCTGCATCTGTGTGACAGCATGTGAGTGTGCGTGTGTGAGAGCAGGTGACAGTGTCTGAGGGGTACATGCACTCACACGGGTGAGTGCTGCATGTGTGAGAGCATGAGTGTGAGTGTGAGCGCAGGTGAGAGAGTAGGTGTGTGTGCGTGCTCACACGTGAGTGCATATGTGAGAGCATGAGCGTGGGGATGTGAGAGAGCAGGTGAGAGTGTCTGAGGGGATGTGTGTGCTTGCATGTGTGAGTGCATATGTGTATGTGTGAGAGCATGAGTGTGGGTGTGCATGAGAGCAGGTGAGTGAGGGGTGTGTGTGCTCACATGTGTGAGTGCAGGTGTATGTGTGACAGCATGAGTGCGGATGAGGGCAAGTGAGAGTGAAGAGGGTGTGTGTGCGTGCTCACACGTGTGAGTGCTGCCTATGTGTGTGAGCATGCGACTGTGGGTGTGCATGAGAGGTGAGAGTGAGAAGGTACGTGTGTGTAAGAGTGCACACGTGAAAGAGTATGTAAAGTGTATGAGAGCATGAGAGGTGTATGAGGGTGCGAGGTGTGTGCGCATGTGTGTGCATGTGCACGCATAAGGGTGTGTGCGAGTGTGTGTGGGGGTATGCATAATGTGAGAGAGTGCGTGAGAGTACGTACATGGGTGCACGTGTGTGTGCCTGTGCACGTGCACAGGGAAAGGCTGGCGAGGTCTGATGGGGCCCATGGTGGGGTGTCTCACAGACCTACAGCTGACAGAAAATGCTGCCAGCGAGGAATGACCTGGCCACACTGGCCGTTTAGACAGACCCTGGGCTTGAGGCAAGGCCAGTGAGGAAGGTGCATGGTCCAGGCAAGAGGATGAGAGCTTAGCTCAGGGCGCTGGCAGGAAGCGCAGGGTGGAGAGAAGAGGCTGGACAGAGTAAAACTCTAGGGAGAGAAACCAATGGCTTTAAGTGACTTAGCCTTGGGGGCCTTGGTTCACTGAATGGAAAGGCGCCACAACAGAAATACAGAGAAATACAGAGAAGTAGGAGTAGGCTGAGCATCACATGGGTGATGAGCTGAGTCTGGACGTGGTCAGTGTGAAGTGCTTGTGAAAAAACTAGGTGAAGGTGTCTGGCCTCCTCTGAGGCTGGAGCCACAGGAGGAAGCTGCAGATACAGGTTTAAAGTCATCACCACAGAGACGGCAATACAAAAATCTGAGACCGCATAGTGTAAAGAAATGGGCTGAAGGTGGAATGACGTGGGAACCCCAACACTCGTGAGGCAGAGAGGGGAGGGACACAAGAGGACAGCCAGTGAGGCCGGGGAGAGGTGTGTGGGATCCAACATGTTCTACAGCACAGACACAACAAGTTCCCTTCTGGAAACATTCAGTAAGAAACACTGGCATGCAGACCTCTCTGGAAAACAAGGAGCACAGGGCAAGGGCCAGGTTTCCTGTCTTTGTATCTCCAGGGTACCTCTCCCAAGACTGCACACACATTAAGTATGAGTGACGGTCACGAGGGAGAGGACACAGAAGAGACACGTTGCAGTGTGGGGCCCAGAGGCGGAGGCGTGGACCAAGGACAGGCATGCACAGGGCAGTGTCACGAAATCAGCCAGGTGAAGAAAGCAGGTAACGATGGGTTCAAGTTTTACTCAGTTTACAAAGACAAATTCTCCCTATCTGCTTTTGTTCCTTCTCCATCTATATAAGCCTGCAATGAAATACTATTAATTGATACAATTTTTGTTACATTATTTCAAATGATGTTCATCTCATAATTTTGCTACATATTTTAAGAACAGTTACAATAAAGTTACATGTAAAAAGGACAATTAAATGTAATGAGACAAGTATCACACAGAAATAATGGAAAAAACTGTAACAGAATCTTGGGCAAAGAAGATTGGACACAAATGAATATTATGTTTGCCTCTAAGCTTCCTGACAACACAGACCATAACAGAAATCCAATAGTCTACAAAGATTTGACTTTATGAAACAAAATGTACCCAATCTCCAGGAGAAAGAACCTGAGATAAGAGATCACATAGATGCTTCTCTGGGAGGGCATAATAAACCCAGTTATATAAGCAGAGACACACATCTGAAGATGAGTGTATCTATGTGTACATATGTATACATATGAGTGTACCTGAAGATGCATGTGTGTATGTATATGTACACAATTTCAAACAGGGTTTGGTAAAGATGCAGAAATGCTTTTTATACATAGAGTTGCTTCTTGTTTGAATAAAAGCTGAGGCAATAACTTGTAATTCAGCAAAGAGAACTCCACTGGGAGCTGAGCTAACTCCACTGGAGCTGGTCTAAGTATATTGCTTTCTGGCAACCTAATCTGATTTAGGAAAAGAGCTTAGAAAAATGATGATAGGATCAATCAGTTAAGACATTTAGGAAAATCACCATCATCTTTTACTTATTCTAGAGATACAGTATTATCATGCTAGGGGTAAACACACTGAACCATGTTCCAGGACAACTATGGGGTACCTAAAAGGTTGTAAGTAATTTAAAAAATTGTAAGATAAACATATCGAAGAAGATACAAAATAAGCAGACATAATAAACTCAATTACATACATAACTGTCTTTAGGGAACTTTTTTCCTGTATTTATATAACAGCTTCTTACTTCACCATCAATATTTCATAAGCAACAGGAAAAAAATCATGTGGGTTTGAATGATTAACTTACAAAAAAATAAAATCTTAAAAATAAGTCCACATGGGACAATCAGACTCGAATGTACAGTTCTCTTACCGGATTTGTTAAAAATAAGTCCACATGGGACAATCAGACTCGAATGTACAGTTCTCTTACCGGATTTGTGATTGTGATGATTTCTCCTTCATTAACCGTCAGTTCATTATTTCCAGGTTCAGCAGCAAAATCATACATAACCCGAGCCTATCAGGAGTGGAGAGGAAAAGAGGATGTTACAAACACAAACAGAGTAGTAAAAACACAAAAGGTGTACAGTTCACTTTCTAAGCATGCTGGTACAAACATGATAGTGGCTGTGGCTGTTTTGGAAGAAAGGAAGACATTACCAAAATGACTCATCTGCTCTACTCTGAGGAAGAATAACACCAACGGTGATAGCCCTGTTCTGTTCCGGAGGCAGGGAAGGTTTCTGGCAGCTGCCCACATTGCATTTAGAGATCAACCCTAAAAAAGTTACTCGAAATATACCTATTTTGGTTGAGTGCAGCAGCTCACACCTGCAATCCCTGCTACTTGGGAGACTAAATAGCAGGAGGATTGCTTGAGGCCAGGGGTTCGAGACCAGCCTGAGCAACAAAGCGAGATTCCATCTCTACCAAAAAATTAAAGAAAAATTAGCTGGGCATTGTAGCCAGCACCTGTAGTACCAGCTACTGAAAAAACTGAGGCGGGAGGATTGCTTGAGCCCAGGAGGTCAAAGTTACAGTAAGCCAGGATCATGCCACTGCACTCCAGCCTGCACGACAGTGAGACCCTGCAGTCTCTTAAAAAAACAAACAAACAAACACCTATTTCATTAACAACAACAACAGACTATCTTCTTTCTCTTAGGAGGTAAGAAGTGGAAATACACAAACTGTTCATTCTGGGAACACTGACTCTCAGAAACTGAAGACAGAGACATACACACACGCACACACATCTAAGATTCACACATCTTTAGAAGAATCGCTTGCTATTAAAATGTTCACTGCTCCTTATCTAATAAGAATGATAATGCAGCATCTTTAGCCACATTAACTCAGAAATTTAAGATTTGGGTACTCTTCCACCATACCAAGACTTACATAGGGCAGTGTGTGCTGGTCGAGTTACCTAAACAGCCATGATTTTAAAACGTTTCCTTAAAATAAAAGCTTTTATTTATTTATTTTTCCAGACAGAGTTTCACTCTGTCACCCAGGCTGGAGTGCAGTGGTGCCATCATGGGTCAATGCAGCCTCGACCTACCAGGCTCAAGCAATCCTCCCACCTCAGCCTCCCCAGTAGCTGGGACTACTGGCACATGCCACCCTGCCCAGCTAATTTTTGTATTTTTTGTAGAGATAAGGTTTCACCATGTTGCCTAGGCTGGTCTCAAACTCCTGGGCTCAAGAGATCTTCCTCTCAAAGTATTTGGGTTACAGGTGTGAGCCACTATGACCAGCCCTAAATGAAATTTTTATTTCATATAAGACAGACTAGGACAAAGCTATTCTGGCTGGAGTAAGGAGGGACTGCTCTTGCAGGCTCTTCCTCAAGAGGATCCTTGAGACAGGGTCCAGAAACACTGACTCCTTGGAACACTGCTGTGCATGTATCCCAAGAGAGAATCACCGTGGTAAAAACAAGGTATGTGTTTAAAATGTTTTATATATACCTTTATAATATATAATACATAATTTAAATCCTTTTCAAATTCTAAGTGATTGTCTTTCACAGACTATCTTCCTCAAGTCCATCCTATAAACTGGGGATCACATGCGCCTAGGAAACATATGGTTTAAAAGTAATTGTTTGTCCTCAAAGGCAAATTCAAGTTTAGCGACAGGGCTAGTCTAACAGGGCTAATGCAAGTGCACTAATTTAACAATATTTACTGAACACCCACCATATGGCAAGAACTTGAAAGGCCCTTTTGTTGGCCATTGCCCTTTCTATGTATTTGCTTAATGATGCCTGAAATTATTTTAATGAGAATAAAGGTTCATATTTAGTGATAACAGACTAAGAAAAAAAAGCCAAAATGCTATCTTGAAATACATAAAAAATAGTAAGATGGACTGATGGACGAATATGTGACAAAGCAGGTACTGAATCTAGATGGTGGATCTATGGTATTCAATTCCAACCTTTCTCCATGTCTGAAATTTCTCCTAGTAAACTGTTGGGAAGAAACAAATGGTGGGAAAGCCTGTGAGTCAAGACATCCCAGCAGCTCCCCACCTCCATCCTTGGAGGCTGGGACCCGAGTGGAGATCATGGCAGGGCGCCCAGGCCAGCAGGACGGCTCCCCTCAGGGCGTCATGAAGAACAAAGCAGCCATGCTGAGGTGTTTTCCTGACATGGCTGCAAAAGTGGACAGAATTCTGCTTGTCATGTTATGTGGTGTTTTTTTTTTTTTTTTTTTCCTGAGACTGTTTCGCTCTTGTTGCCCAGGCTGGAGTGCAGTGATGCCATTTGGGCTCACTGCAACCTCTGCCTCCTGGGTTCAAGCGATTCTCCTGCCTCAGCCTCCCAAGTAGCTGGGACTACAGGCGCCTACCACCACACTTGGCTAATTTTCATATTTTTAGTAGAGACAGGGTTTCACCATGTTGGTCAGGCTGGTCTCAAACTCCTCACCTCAGGTGATCCACCCGCCTTGGCTTCCCAAAGTGTGGGATTACAGGCGTGAGCCACCATGCCTGGCTGCGGTAGTTTTTGTTTTTGTTTTGTTTTGTTTGAGCCAGAGTCTCTCTCTGTCGCCAGGCTAAAGTGCAGTGGCAAGTCTCAGCTCACTGCAACCTCCACCTCCTGGATTCAAGCAATTCTCCTGCCTCAGCCTCCCGAGTAGCTGGGATTACAGGCATGCGCCACCACACCCAGCTAATTTTTGTATTTTTGGTAGAGACGAGGTTTCACCACGTTGGCCAGGATGGTCTCGATCTGTTGACCTCATGATCTGCCCGCCTCGGCCTCCCAAAATACTGGGATTACAGGTGTGAGCCACCATGCCCGGCTGGTGTTTTTTAAAAACACATTGCATCAACCTGGATCCTTCCTGCCATGAGGACAGACAGGACAGAAATGCGGGCAGGGGACGGGCTGGAAGGAAGCGAGCCCTCAGAGTGGAGCCTGGGAGAAGCAAAGCCACACTCACGGGCATGAGGAACCTGCTGTTGTGTTATTGGTCCTCAAGAATCCTGCTGAAATTTTTAAAAATCCAGCTGAATCCAATTAGTTTCCAAATATAGAATACCTAAGCCTCTTGTTTACTAAACTTAGAATGTAGTGAAGCAGAATGTGAAACAAGTGAGAAAGAAAGAAATGGAAACAGCCTCACACACTTAAATATTACTAAGCACTTACTCACTGCTAAGGTTAGAGGGTTTGGACCCTCCAAAACTCATGTTGAAACTGAACCCCCAAGGCAGTGGTATTGGGAGGTGCGGCAAATGGGGGGCGTTTAGGTCACGGAGGCTTTGTCCTCAAGAGGGGATCAACACTGCTACAAAAAGGGCTCGTGGGAGTGGGTTTACTCTCGCTCACCCGTCTGCTGTGTCAGGACACAACACCCTTACCCCTGGAGGAGGGAGCACTCAAGGCGCCATCTTGGAAGCAGAGCCGGGCCCTACCCTGCCAGCACCTAGATCTTGAACCGCCTGCCTCCACAGTTATGAGGAATAAATTCTGTTCTTTATAAGTTACCCAGTCGTAGATCTCCTGTTGTAAGCACAAAACAGACAAGGACATTCACAGAAAAATGTTTATAAACCTTGTAAGTTTATCTAAAACACTGAATTAAGACTTAAACAGATGCTTCTTAGAAATCTGAACTGAGAATAATTTTGGAGAAAAAAGGATTTAATAACCATATCTCCAAATAAGTATAACATGTCAATAAAAAAACATATTGACCATTCAGCCTAGAGATGCTAAAGCTTCAATTAAACTGAAAGCTTTTGGGCGTCATCTCCCAGCACCCCTCTTTTCTCTTTCCTATCCTTGCATTTTGCCTCCACCTGTTTTCTCACTTTCCCCTTCTCACCCCTCTTGTCTACCACTAACAGTATCCAAACAGACAGAGGTGCTGGCCTCAACCCCAACTGCCATCTATTTTCCATGTGGTCTTTGAAAGAAATGGTCCATTTTCCTATACTGCATTTTCCACTATTAGCTATACTTCAAGAACTCATTCTTCAACTATTTCTAAGAGCTAAATTTCCACCTAGTCCTGGTCAGTGGATAACTCCAAACTATATATTCAATATATATTGTCAACCACAACTAATCTCTTCCTTTCAAAAAGTATTACAGATGACATGAATGGCTACTAGACATCAATCTCACGTATCTGTTCCATTAACTACTAATCTACTTATCAGTAAAATAAACATTAGTGGATTCAAAGCTCTCCATTCAATGCTCCAGACACTAGAATACCAAGTGTGCAAGCACACATCTGCCCACAATGTGCATAATCCATTCTTAACACATACCTCCTCTTCTGAGAAAAGAGAGGAGTATGACCATACACATTCTATCTGACCTATGTTGTACATATCTGTTATTCTGTCTGCCCCACATCCCTTCCTTTTGGAAACTGGATAATCAGAATTCTTTCTCAGAGCTCTTTGGTATGGGAGTTGGGGACAGTGCTCCTTCTCTCTGGTATTGCTGTCAATGGCTAACTGGCTGAGGTGTGGAGAAAGTCTGTCTGAAAAACGAAGTCAATGTAGCACAGAATGACAAAGAGAAACAGTGTCCTGTTTGAAGGACAAACTTGACACTCATTCTCCCCATGGAAGACTTCTCTGTTACTGGAGCCAATGTATCTCCTCATGAGCTTATTAAACTGTCAGTCCACATCTTGTCACTTGCAACCTAGAGAGTCCAAGTTAATACAAACCAATAACCCCAAACCAAAGAATTTATTAAGGAAACATTCTAATTTAAAAAAACACTGGCCATAAGAACTAAGAACTACCTGTATTTATTAAGCAAAAATGAAAACCAAAAAACTAGATCCTAAAATGCACAACAATAGAGAATAAAACAGTTCAAAATAGGAAGGAAAAAAAATTCACAAAACCCTGGCAATAAAAAAAGTTCATATGGGAGTTAGAATGCAAAAGCTAAGGCCCCATTCTTAAGTATCTACCTCTCTGATTGCATATAAATCACAATTACATCTTAGGGAAAAAAGCAGTAAATCTTCAACAGTGTTGCTCCTCATCTTTAAAACAGAAAAGTACAATTAAAAAATAAAATATGTAAATCTTCAGAAATTCCAGGGAAAGAATGATTTGACACCCTCGAGAAGTGAAGTTTTGCATAAAGAGTAGGTAATATTTCTATGTATAACTAGTTTACCTCTTTAAATGGCAAGCTTGTTTAACTTAAGCACATTCATGACTTACAAAATTGTATAATATTTAACGTCTTCCTCAATCTTATCTTGACTTATTAAGATCATCAGAAGAAACAGAACTTACTTTCACAGACCCTGAGCATTATTATGCTATTAACATATGTTGATGTATTTGTCCTTAATCTAAATGGTGAAGGCATAAATGCTTTTCAATATAAGTAGTCCCTCCTCCACAGTTTCACGTTCCTCGGTTTCAGTGAACTGCTATCAAATGCAGTTGGAAAATATTAAATAGAAAATTCCAGAAATAAACAATTTATCAGTTTTAGAGTCCATGCCATTCTGAGTAGCATGATGCAATCTCACACTCTCCCACTCAGGACATGAATCATCCCTTTGTCCAGCATCTCTACACCATAGACACTGCCCACCTGACTGTCATGTAGTAGCCGTCCCATTTAGTAGACTGACTATCAGGTATGGCAGTGCTCATCTTCAGGTCATCCTTATTTTACTTAATAATGACCCTGATGCACAAGAGTGGTGTTGCTGGCATACTATAATAACTGTTCTATTTTATTATTAGTTATTCTTGTGCATCTCTTACTGTATCTAATTTATAAATTAACTTTGTCATAGGCATATATAGAAAAAACATAGTACACACATAAGGTTTGGTATTATCCTTGGTTGCAGGCATCCCTGGAGGTCTCGGAACATATCCCCCGTCACTAAAGGGGGACTACTGCATATCAGTGATTTCCACAGCTTTTGCTCAACCTTGCGCTTACTCCACTGTTATGTGAACTAAATACAGAATATTATAGTTATCGCTATAAAATTTCAAGCTATTAGATTCAACCCACTGCTCCAACCTATTAAGAGCTTTCTGAATTCTGAAGCCATCATCCAATTCTCCCTTATCTTTTCTTGCTGGGAGTCATCGGAAAGCCTGATGAGCACGCTTTCTACAGTTTCACCAGTGTCATTATTCAAACTGTTAAACTATGGCAGGGCCAAGTCAGCTGCACCAGATAAGAAGCTCCAAGGGGATGCGGGTCAATTAATTATCATGTTCTCAGAATGTTGCTCTTAAAATTTCCAAAGAAGGAAATGAAGTTTCCTTAAATGTTGAGAAGCAATTTCTTTAATAATCCATTCAAAAGTATAGTCAAGATGATAGAACATTTTAACAGTTGTTCTAGCAAAAGATCTTTTCCAAACAGAAGAAATTTCTAAAAAGAATTGGTAGCAGCAATTGAGAATGAATAAAAATTTTTAAATATTCTGTATGTAAAATTTTCAAGAATAAACTACTGGTAAATTGATATGTTCTTTAAAAATGTTTTTTCCTAAAATAGGTTTATATCTGTTATTCTGAAACAAATGCACTTAGAGGAATTTTTTAAACTGATGGTCAATTAGACAAGCAGTTTGGGAAATTTCCAAGTCAAACAGAAATGTAAATAGAAATTCCCTGAGTAGAATTACAAATTCCCAAGAAATACTTAGTGTAAACTTAAATCTGAGTGTAACAAAAGGCGACTGTACAATTCTAGGGGAGCAGAGTTCTGAGTACTTAAAATACATAAATCAAATTGTACCATACTCTTCCAAACTGCTCTCCCTCTCTCTGTAGTTCACTCGTGCAGAACAGCTCTGGAAAGTACTTAAGACCACAGGAAATACAAACTGAGGCTACACTGTAACCAAACTTCTAGAGATTGGGATGATTTTAAGAGTCATTCTACCCACACTCACCCAGATCAAAGCTTCTATATGCGGTGCACACAAGAACAATTAGACAAAGATATCTTAACAGTGATTTGATGTGGTGGCATCAACTGGCCATATCACATGTACCATCACGATTACCAAGTAATGTGTCAAAACAGATACTTCTGAAACCTACGTGTGACTGCCTGTGCTGTGCCTTACTTCATAATTAAACACACAAAACTTGAATTTAATTGGATATTTTATTGTATTTGAGAGACCGCATCTTGCTCTGTCACCCAAGCTGGAGGGCAGTGGTGCAATCATGGCTCACTGCAGCCTTGAACTCCTGGGCTCAAGCAATTCTCCTGCCTCAGCCTCCTGATAGACAGGACTACAGGCACATGCCACCACTCCTGGCTAATATTTTATTTTTTAATTTTTTTAAAGAGACGAGATCTCACTATGTTGCCTAGGCTATTTTTTTAAGGCCATGTCAAAATGGCTGTATCATACAAAACACTTTGATTTTATTGCTTTAAATGAGGGGTTGCTTTTCCTTTTTCTGTACAGGACCAGATAGTAAATATTTTCGAGTTTGCAGGCCATTCAGTCTGTCTCTGCTGCCGCAGTGCAAAAGCCACCACAGACAATATATAAACAAATGGATATGGCCACGTTCCAGTGGAACTTTATTTACAAACTGCACATGACAGGCTAGATTTTGTTCATGGGCCAAAATTTGCTGACTCCTATAACATGACCCGGAACAAAATTATGTAAAAATCACTAGTCTTAACATACAGCAGAAGTCATAAAGGAAAGAGTATTTTCAATTCATATCACAAAGTGTTAATCTTCTGATACATAAAGAGTTTCTGGAACTCAAGAAAAAGACCAGCAACCTAATACAAAAATGGGCAGAGGAACAAACAGTTCATTAAAGAATACAATGGCCCTTAAATGCATGACAAAACGCTCAATCTCACACACTAAGAGAGACAAATTAATCTGGCAGACATTGCCAGATCCCCACGGCCACAATTTGGGGTTGTACTATTTAAACTTCTACCAGTATTATATACGAAAGTAACATTTTTCTACAGCTTCACAAACAGAATAAATCACTCCACTTTTCGATTTCTGCAAATCTGATGCTAAGGAATGCTACCCCAATATAGCTTCTACTAACAGGCAACTGATTAAATAAACCAGGCTATGCTGTCAAAATGGAATATTATACAGCAACAAGAGAATGAGAACAATCTATATACTCAGACATGGAATGAATACATGGTCAAAAAAGGTAACTTATGGAACAGGGCATATAGCATGCTACACCTTTTTCATGAGCAGAATATTTATATTTGCCAGTATTTCCATAAAGAAACATTAAATAAAACAAGAAATTAATTTTAAATTGGTCACCTAGAAACATGGGAGAAGAAACTCAGTGATAACACAAGTGGAAGTGACGTTTCTCATTATATTTCTTTTCATATCATTTAATTTTAACTGTGTGTGTGTATGTCACCTGTCCAAGAATTCTAAATTAAAATGAGAGGAAAAAGACATCATGTACAGTAATGGCGGAAGATGAAATATTTAGGAATAAACTTAAGAAATGTGTAAAACCTATCTGGAAAAAAACTTTAGAATTTCTTAAATAACACAGAAAATTGGAAAAAATGGAGAGTATGTGATATGGTTTGGCTGTGTCTCCACCCAAATCTCACCCTGAATTGTAATAATCTGCATGTGTCAAGGGCAGGGCCAGGTGGAGATAACTGAATCATGGGGGTGGTATCCCCCATACTGTTCTCGTGGTAGTGAGTAAGTCTCATGAGATCTGATGGTTTTATAAAGGGGAGTCCCCCTGCACAAGCTCTCTTGCCTGCTGCCATGTAAGATGTCCCTTTGCTTCTCCTTTGCCTTCCACCATGATTGTGAGGCCTCCCCAGCCATGTGGAATTGTGAGTCCATTAAATCTCTTTTCTTTATAAATTACCCAGTCTCAGGTATGTCTTTACTAGCAGTGTGAGAACATGCTAATACATCAAGGTAGATTGTAACAATGGCCACAGTAAATCCTCCCACCCCTATATCAATACCAATTTGCAATATGACTTTGTCACTCCTCCCATTAAGACTCTGGACAATGGCCGGGCATGGTGGCTCACACTTGTAATCCCAGCACTTTGGGAAGTCGAAACAGGCGGATCACGTGAGTACAGGAGTTTGAGACCAGCCTGACCAACATGGACAGACCCCGTCTCTACTAAACATACGTCCCTGTAATCCTAGCTACTCGCTAGGCTGAGGCAGGAGAATCACTTGAACCCGGGTGGTGGAGGCTGCGGTGAGCCGAGATTGCGCCATTGCACTCCAGCCTGGGCAACAAGAGCAAAACTCCATCTCAAAAAAAAAAAAAGAAAAAAGAAAAAGAAAAAAGACTCCGGACGAGTTCATGTGCTTACTCTGGCCAACAGAACGATAGCATATGTGATACTAACATAGGCATGAAAAGCACTTATACATGGGGTGGGGGCTGCCATCTCTTGCTGCCAGGATCACCTGTGCTACCACTGAACCTGGCTGGGTTAGTAACTCTGCAGATCCGAGACCATATGGAAAGAGGCCCGCATCATCCTAGCTGTGTAAGGTGAGACCCTAACATGAAGGAAAGGCCACCTAAGACTATCCAGCCTCAGATGGGCTCTCCAGACCACAAGAACCACGCATTGTCAGTCCACAGAACTGTAAGAAATACAAAGTATTTGTTGTTTTATGTCATTAAGTTTTGGGGTAGTTTGTTATACAATACAAATGGATTCAAAGAGTCTCCCCATATTTTTAGATGAGAAGCCCCAATATCATCAATAGCACCTCTCCCCTCTCCTTCAATAATTCTAATAAAAATACAAATAGGATTTTTTTTTTCTGAAACAGGACAAACTAATCCTAAAATTCAATTGGACATATAAACAAACAAGAATGGCCCCCAATCTTTTTCATGGAAAAAAAAAAAAACAAGGAAAAACTAGAAAAGTACGAAGTCCACAACAAGTCCCAAAGACATATAGAAACGTAGGTAACATGATAAAGATGGCATTTTATTGTTTTAGAACAAATAAGTAACTATCTGAAGGAAAAAAATGAATTCCTACCTCACTTCTCCCAACAAAATAAATCATATAATGGGTCAAAGATTAATTTTTTTTTAAAAAAGGTAATCACATATCTAGTGCCCAGATTGGGAATTCCGAGCAGCATTTTTCATTAAAAGGAACCAGATTTACTTAGAGAAATAGTTGACTCCAGGTTTCAGTGGGAAAAAACAAGAATCCCATATAAAACATACAAGATGGGCCTGGAACATCTTTTCCTATCAGATTATCAAAGACACTACTAGCAAAGCCTACTGGTTGTGTCAAAAAGACACAGGTACCAACCTGAAGATGAGCTTGCTGTCCAAATGTGGAAGAATACAAGCATCAATAGGGATAATGACCACAATGGACTGAAACATTAAATTTGCTTAAACTCATGAGTTCATGATGATAAAACTAATTGGTCATCATTATAGAATGGTAGGAAATGAATTCATTTTGACAACTGGTAAATAAAGGCAAAAAAATCAACCATTTATCCTTTAAGAACTGTACTATTAAGTAACCAAGTAGTAGATAAAAGTTTCTCTTTTACAAGCATTTCAGCTGATAAATGAAGGAATAATAGAATGAGATCATTTTTTTCAATCCCCAAAGATTTAATTCATCTAAGCATAGTGCATCACAAAGACAAGCAGACATTACTTGCCTTCTGATGGAATACAATCCTGCTTATGAAATATACTTGAAAAAAAAAGAATGTGAATCTATTCACCCTCTAAATCCTAGTAACAAGAAATACAAAAGAATATATTAAACTATGTAATGAGGGTAAGGTAAGAAATCAAGGTACTACAGAAATCCATCCCAACAAATACGTCCCAAAGACAAAACAAGTAGGGGATAAGGGTTGGGAGTGAGGTAAGGGAACCTATAAATGAAGAGAAGATTGATCGTGATAGTAATATGCAGACTTTATTAGGATTCTGAGTCCAACTGCAGAAATGATTATGAAATTTGAATTCTTAAAGGACTGTGATATTTAAAAGTATTCATTTTTTAGGGATCAAAGCAGCATTGTGGTTATATTCTTAAAAGACTTTCCTCTTTCCTCCCCATCTTTAGAGGTATACATGAAAATACTTACAGATGAAGTGTTAAAATACCTGCCATTTCTTCAAAAATAATGCAGGAGCAAGAGACACTGATGGGGTCTTGATGAAATAAGGCTATGAGCTGGTTAGTTGCCAAAGGTGGATAATGGTTACAAACAGCTTTATTATACTCTTCTACTTCTGAATGTGTTTGGCATGCTCCACAATAAAATGTCTTTTTAAAAAACCATAAAAAACACCAAAGAAAATCTTAGGAGAATTTCTAAAAATACTCTTGCAGTAGAGGAGACTTTATGAAATAAAATCGACAAGTCTTTTACAGGGAGAATGGGAGAAATGTCTCTTCACCCAAAATAAAACATACCCGCCTGGCAACAGCCAACATAAACAAGATAAAAATCAATGACAGGCCGGGCGTGGTGGCTCACGCCTGTAATCCCAGCACTCTGGGAGGCCGAGGCGGGTGGATCATCTGAGGTCAGGCGTTCAAGAGCAGCCTGGCCAACATGGTGAAACCCTGTCTCTACTAAAAATACAAAAAAACAAAAAAATATTAGCTTGGCGTGGTGGTGGCTGCCTGTAATCCCAACTACTTGGGAGGCTGAGGCAGGAGAATCACTTGAACTCAGGAGGTGGAGGTTGCAGTGAGCCGAGACTGTGCCACTGCACTCCACTCCAGCCTGGGCAACAAGAGCGAAACTCCATCTCAAAACAACAACAACAAAAATCAATGACAATCTGGGGAAAATGTCTGCAATTCATAACACAGACTAAAGATTGCTCCTGCTACTCTATATAAAGAGTACGAGTCAGTAAGAAAAGAATGGTTTTTAAAATGTAAAACTGTACTCAGAAAAGAATATAAAATGAAACAGTTTATTTTTCACCTATCAGTCTACCAAAAAACGAAAGCAAAACTCTGCTAACACCATGCTGGTAAGGGCATAAGGTTTAGGGAAACAGGTATCCTTACATCGCGCTAACAGAAGAGGCAATTTGGTAATGCCTATCAGGATTACAAACACACATGTATCTTAACGAGAAAGTCTAGGAACTTATCCTCTAGAAATAGACTTTTGCAAACTGACATATATACATGGTTATTCATATTTACTGCAATGCCACCCAGAATAGCAAAAGACCAAACACAACCTAAAAGGCAGGACTAGTTCATCAAGTATGGGATCTCTGCGAAACGGAGTACTATACCGCAGCCAAAAGAACAAGATTTGCTTACTTTTCTGGTGTGGAATGATCTCTAATATATATGTATTAAGTGAGAAAACAAATCAGGCACACCACTTGTGTAAGAAAGAGGGCCCAGCGATGCAGTACATGCATTTGCTTGTGTATGCACAGGAAATCTCGGTAACAATGTAAAAGAAATGGGTAACACTGCCCCTGAGGAAAGAAGATGGCTAAAGGAGAGGAGAGATAGGAAAGGAATTTTCAGTGGGGTTTTTTTGCCCTTTTGTAGTGTTGTGGGGTTTTTTTTTTTTTTTTAACATGAACCTATTATCCCGTCAAAAAAATTAAAAATTTAAAGCACTGTCTTGGATTGTCTCTACCTAGGATGCTCAGAGTCATGTTGCAAACATCAAAATTTATGAAAGAATGCTTCCCTGATTATAACAAAGCACAAAACACTCCAAAGTGTAACTAAAAAGCAGATTAGATGGCAAACAGAATCTGCATTAAAGGCCACATAAAAGGGGGTAAACCATATTCCTAGACTTTTCATTCTGAGAACCAATAATTTCAGTGTATATAAATACATACCTACACTTTTATTAATACAACAACAAAAGCAACACAATGAAGTTAAAAAGGAACAGTTTCTAAAAGTGCCAAAGGGCATTAGTGCTGATTTTTAAAATATCCCTCAAAATGTTATAAATTTGCCATACGTGTTTGCATGTACACAACTAGTCAAAGCACACACATGCACAGAAGCAATTAGAATCACAGTATATGCTTACATACTCTTAACATTTCTTATGTGCTCTTCTACATTTCATTTATTTAGGACTTTTATTTATTCATATTTTCTCTTAGGACTCTTCACATCAGCATAGCTACTTTGTTCTTTATCACAGCTGCAAGGTTACTAACCCACTATTTAACGCCTAGGGCAAGGCACATTAAAACTTACTTTGCTGTGGCTAAGAAAATAACTTCACCACCAGCCCCCAAATTAAAATAGCTTTATTGCTTTTCCCAATTGTAAAACTGCATGCTCACTGGGGGTGGGGAGACAGGAATACAAATATAGTAAAGTTTAAAATCAAACAGTAGCAAATACCAAACCCCAGAGACAACTGGCAGAAACTTACTCCCAGTTGAGAGTACCCATCTCCCACACCCTCACCAGTGTGTGTATTTACAAGGTCTCACTTCTTCCCCAAAGGGGGAGGAAATGGAATTACTGGCAACATACCAATGATAAGCTGGCTTTGAAGCCAGGCACATAGGTTCAAATCCTCACACCACTGTTTCACCAGTCTTGAAAACTTGGACCAATTCCTTAAAGTCTTGGTCTCAAACTGCCTGTGCCTTGTGACACAAAGGAGAAATGAAGTAATAAAAATAAAGCCCATAGAATAGGGACCGGCACATATGGCCCAGTAAATGCAGGCTATCACCACCTTTGTTGTTTTTTTTTTTTAAACATTACATGTACATTTGCATGTACTAAAAATTGTGGCATAACTATTTCCTCTTTCCAGTCCACCAAAGGTTCTGGAACTAGCCTAGAGTTCAAGGGAAAGTAAAGGGCCTGATAACTGATTCCTACAAAAGGTGGTTCTGCTACTTCACCGGATAGTAAGGGAACCAGACATTCCCCTACCCAGTTAGTCACCTATGAAACAACAACAGTTACTGTATACATGTAATTCAAATCCCAGAATGATGGAGGGGAAGACAGAAAAAGTGTCTGAAGAAGTAATGTCAAAAATTTCCAATTTGTGAAAACTATAACCTACAGATCCCAGAAGTTGAATAAATTCCACAGGAAAAAAACCACAAAGAAAACCACACAAAGACACATCATAGTCAAGTTTCAGAATATCAGCAACAAAGAGAAAAACCTTAAAATCAGAGAAAGGAGAAAAACATATATTATTACATACAGTGGAACAAAGAATAACTGCAGAATTCTCAAGAACAACATGTACAAGCCAAATGTCACCTTAAAAATGCTGAAAAATAACAAAAACTACCAACCTAGAATTCTATACCCAGCAAAAACATCCTTCAAAAATGATGGTGAAATAAAGGCATTTCAGACAAAAGCTGAGGAAGAATGTGTCACCAGCAAAGCAATACTACAGGAAATGTCAAACATGCTTTTACCAGAACGAAAATGATACTAGATGGAAAACTGAATCCACACAAAAGAAGGAAGAGCACCAGGAATGGTAAATACATGGGCCATGCAAAACAAACAAACAAACAAACAAAAAAACTCACCATTTAATTTTTCTGAAAGAAAACTAAGAAGATAACTGACTTTTAAAACAATAACAACAACATATTCTGGAGTCTATAATACTGGGAAATAAAATGTATGACAAAAATACAAAGGCCAGGCACAGTGGCTCATGCCTGTAACCCCAGCATTTTGGAGGCCGAGGTGGACAGATCGCACAAACTCAGGAATTTAAGACCAGCCAGGGCACCGTGGAGAGACCCTGTCTCTACAAATACAAAAATTAGCCGGGCATGGTGGTCTGCATCTGTAGTCCTAGCTACTTGGCAGGTAGAAGTGGGAGGATCGCTTAAACAGGAGGTTGAGGCTGCAGTGAGCTGTGATTACGCCACTGCCCTCCTGCCTGGGCAACAAAGCAAGACCCTGTCTCAAAAAAACAAAACAAAAAAGTAGCACATAGGACAGGAAAGGGAAATAGAGGTCTACTGTTACAGAGTTCTTACGTGTGAGGTGCTGTAGTATTTGAAGTTCAAATGCCCTAAGATACACGTGCTTATTGTGAAGCTGAGAGTGACCATGGTAGCGAGAGGAGGAAGGGAGGGAGGGAGGAAAAAATGGAAAGGAGGATTGTGAATTCTGAGAACCATGGCCTAATGCAAAGCAGCTTTTGATGTCCAGTAATCAGACATTTCATTATTTCAAATTAATTTCTACTCCAATTAATTCAAATAATTACAGTTTTGGAGTATGTGTAAAATTCAGATATACTTCTTTAAACAACAGAAGTCAAACTAAATCAATGGTTGGTGGGAATATAAAATGGTACAGCCACGGTAGAAAACAGTTTGGCAGTTCCTCCAAAAGTTAAACACGGAATTACCATATGATCCAGCAAATTCCACTCAAAAGAACTGAAAGCAGGGACTCAGATACTTGTAAGCCAAAGTTCACAGCAACACCATTCACAATAGCCAAAAGGTGGCAGCAACTCAAATGTCCATCAACGGATGAATAAACAAAATACAAAGGAATATTATTCAGCCATAAAAAGAAATGAAGTTCGGATACATGCTACATTACAGACGAACCTTGAAAACATTACGCTAATTGAAATAAGCCAGACACAAAAGGACAAACAGGCCGGGCACGGTGGCTCAGACCTGTAATCCCAGCACTTTGGGAGGCAGAGGCAGGTCACTCACTTGAGGTCAGAAGTTCAAGACCAGCTTGGCCAACATGGTGAACCCGTCTCTACTAAAAATACAAAAAATTAGCTGGGTGTGGTAGCGAACGCCTGTAATCCCAGCTACTCGGGAGGCTGAGGCAGGAAAATCGCTTGAACCCTGGAGGTGGAGGGTGCAGTGAGCCAAGATGGCACCACTGCACTCCAGCCTGGGTGACAGAGTGAGGCTCCGTTTCAAAAAGAAAAAAACAACGAATATATGATTCCACTATGTGAGATACCTAGAATAGGCAAATGAAGCCAGAAAGTAGAATGGGGGTTACCAGGGGCTACAGGGAGTGGGAAATGGGGAGTTATTGTTTAATGCAATACAGAGTTTCTATTTGGGATGGTGAAAAAAGTTCTAGAAATAGTGGCAATGGTTACACATCATTGTGAATGTATCTAATGTCACTGAATCATATACTTAAAATGGTAAATTTTATGTTATGTATTTTTACCACTATTTTTATTCTTTTTTAACTAAGATTTTGTATACTTTGTAGAGGTTTATTTATATTTATTTATTTTAGGGTTTTTTTTTTTTTTGAGACCATCTTGCTCTGTCACCCAAGCTGGAGTGCAGAGGCTTGATCTCGGCTCACTGTAGCCTCCACCTCCCAGGTTCAGGCAATTCTCCTGCCTCAGCCTTCTGAGCAGCTGGGATTACAGGCATGTGCCACCATGCCCCACTAATTTTTTTGTATTTTTAGTAGAAATAGGGTTTCACCATGTGGGCCAGGTTGGTCTTGAACTCCTGGCCTCAAGTGATTCACTCACTTCAGTCTCCCAAAGTGCTGGGATTACAGGCATGAGCCACCACGCCCAGCCTTATCACTATTTTCAAAAGACCATAGAAATAAGTAAAAATGTACAATTGTGGAATAAACCAGAATGGTATCCTAACTGCATGCTCCTTCCTTCTATGGCGTTAGCCTTATTCAGCTGACAGCTGGTGCACCCCAGCACAGGCCCAGCCCCTGGCAGCCAGCAGTGCCATGAGCTGAAAAGGCAAAGAAGATATATGCTCTTAAAAGTGACCTGCCAGGAGCCTTCAGGAAAAATAAAATATTTTAAATACAGTCACCAAGCATTATCAGATGTATGGAGCTTGACAATGAAACACCACTATCAAATTTTTGTTTAAGGGAGCTCTTGGGGGTTACATAACAGGCCCATGACCTTTACCCCAACTTCAGAAAGTGGAAAAAAAAGAGAAGCCAAGGGAAGAGACTCCCCCAGCAAACTCGAAAGATAATGTGCATGTGAGCCCACCCAGTTGCACTGGGACTGTTGGTTACTCCTCCCATCCACGCACTGATTACAACTTCGCCACGCTCTCCTTCCCATTAGTGTTTAACCCACCTGTCTGTCACATCCTTAAAAAGGAAGAAGAAACCATCCCTCAACCCCACATATTCCTTTGAATAATACCTTCTCTTAACATCAAGAAATTCAAATTTCAGAGAAGTTTTCCACATGCCCCGGGTCTACTTCATCTGCTACTCACTCTTCACCCTGCACTAGTCAAGCCTTGCCCACACTGACACCACTGAAACAGCTCTGGCCAAGGATACCGGCAGCTTTCTTACTGCTAAATCCAATCACCATGCTAGGCCCTCAACCCACCTGACTGCCTGACTGCGTCTGACATTGCTGTCCACTCTTCCTTCTTGAAACACTCTCCTCCCCTCGCCCCTCCACACCTGCCCTCCTCTGGTTTTCTTCCTTCCTTTCCACCTTCTCTCCTTGCCCAGGCATTAGCCAGGCCACACTGTAAATGTCTGTGTTTTCCAGGGTCCTACACTCTTCTTACTCTAGACATTCTCCCTGGGTAACATCCACTCTGACAACGTCACCTGCCATCTTTATACTGATGAATCCCAAGTCCATTTCTTAGATCTTTCCTCCTGAGGTTCAGACTTGAAAATCTGTCACCTATCAGATTCCTGCATGCAGTTCCAAGAGCACACAACACACCAAGCAAGGCCTCATCAGCATTCCAGCACAGACCCTGCCTTCTCTCCAGCATTCCCCAGCCTTCTAGATGGAACTTCTCCTATCCACTCACCCAAAAAGAAACTGAAAGGTACTCTTGACTCCTCCTCTCATTCCTTTCCACCTCTAAGAAAGGCCTGGCAAATCTACTTTCTAAATACTGCTACAATCTACTCACTTCTCTCCATCCCATGTGTGAGTTCCACAGTCCAAGTCATCTTTAATTATTTTCATTCACTTCAAAAGCCTCCTCCAGCCTCTGCACACCTGCTGCGCCTTGCTCCAATTCATCTTCCGCCTGCAGCGCCAAGGACCTTTTGAACATGCACACTAAGCATTGCCGCTCTTGACTCAAACCTTCCAGTGCTTCCCACAGCTCTTACAAGAAAGCCCAAGCACAATGCCTGGAACACAGTAGGTGCTCAACATCTATCTGTTCACTAAATAAACCCCAATGTTAATAAGCATGGCTTATAAAGAGGCTGACCATGTATCCTCATCTATCCAGGCCAGCCCCAGTTTATGCCTGTTATCTCAGTGTAATTAACTGTACCCTCTTTTTTCTTGAAAGTATTCCAGTTTGGACTAAAAAATTATATGATCACCTGACCCTGAACACCTCCGTGGCCTTATCACTTACAATTCTTACCTTCAATGATAAATTCCAGACTTATTGAACTATTTTCTTTTCTTTTCTTGAGACAAGGTCTCACTGTCACCCAGGCTGAAGTGCAGTGGTGCATCACAGCTTACTGCAGCCTCAAACTTCTGGGCTCAAGTGATCCTACTGCTGCGGTCTCTCAAAGTACTGGGATTACAGGCATGAGCTACCACACCCGGCCTGAACTATTTTCAATTCCATAAACATGTCACAACCTTCCCTCTTTCTTCACCTGACCAAATCCTACTCACCTTTCAGGTCTCAGCTTAGATGTCACCAGTGGGAAGCATTTTATGACGTGCAAAATCGGTTACGTATCTATCCCTCCCATGGACGGCCTTATAACACTACCCTTCCCCTATCATTTTACGGCTGCTGTACTATCGTTGCTTGTGGACATGTCTGCATTCTCTAAACTGTAAGCTCCCTGTCAGTCCTGCTCAGCACAGTACCTGACACAGCCATTTACCAGGTAGCACGGCATCTGCCACCTAAGAGGTGCTTACAGAGTTCAAGTTTCACTGCCATTTCCAAATAAATTCAATCTTACTAGTTCAGTTTTCAAAGTACAGAAAGTACAGTTTCTTTTAAATAAAAAACTTCACTTCATCTAGGTTTACTGCCCCAGCTAAAAGAACCAAAAGCCAATACTTTAACAGGCAATCATTAAACTTTTAAATTTACAAATTAAACTTTATTTTGCAAAATGCCAACGCTTATCCTTTTCATGTCTTAATTACACTTTTTCTAAATCTCTACCACGGTTTGGGGGAAGAATTTTCCCCTAATAGCCTGCCCAGTTTTTTCTGCTTAAAGCCATCAGAGCCAATTCTAAAATTCTGCATTCTCTGGGTGGGTAAAGCCAATGACTAGCTACCAGATTGAAGCTAGGTAGCCGGTATGTTTATATTTTATCAACACATATTGAATAGGCAGTTAGTACCATGAATGCTGTTCTAGGGGGACATAGTGGTGAAAAGCCAGGAACAAGATGTTCTCCTTCTCTCAGAAGCATTGTTTTAGGAGGAGACACAGCCATCAACACGCAAAGCAATTCCAGGTGGTGGTGAGTGCAATTACAGAAGTTAATCAGGTGATGCGACAGAGTAAGGGCTTTACAGCAGGCAGGTGAGGAGGGGTCTTGCCAGTGAGGAACAGGGGCTAGGGAGAATGTGGGGTGGGGAGGTGGCAGGAGGCCCAGATAAAGGACTGTGTAAAGCCAGGTCAAAACAATGCCAGAGGCCAAATAATGCAAAGGTACATTTACCAAGAGAGTTATAAAAATTAATACCTTATTTTCAACAGGGCTTCCCTGCTGCTGTTTTTGTGCAAATAAATTAGCATTCAGAGATGAAAAGGAGTATTTACACAACCGACAAGTAAAATATACTGAAAAATATGTTACAGGATTTTAGCACTACTAAAACCAGAATAGACGACGTGTAACCTATGATGAAGCTTCCTCCCTCCTTCCTGGGCCCACGTGGAAATTATTAATCCATCAGCACAGATATACATAGCCTGGCTCCTTCCCAGCAAGGCCTCCCCACATTCCTGCTTGCCACTTTAGTCCCAAAAACTCAACAATCGAAATGGATGAAATTTAAAAATATATATTTTTCAGAAAGAAAACTCCTATAGAATATATAGCATTTGGGTTATTCAGCTTTTCCAAAGATCTACACCATCAGGAAAACTTTAGCCTCATCATTTTTCTTGGTCTTTTTAAAATAAGTACTACAAGGCTGGGCGCAGTGGCTCACAACTGTGATTCTAGCATTTTGGGAGGTGGAGGTGGGCAGATCGCTTGAGCTCAGGAGTTCAAGACCAGTCTGGGCAACATGGCAAAACCCCATCTCTACCAAAAATACAAAAATTAGCCAAGCAGTGTGGTGCACACCTGTGGTCTCAGCTAACTTGGAGGCTGAGGTAGGAGGATCACCTGAGCCCAAGAGGTGGAAGCTGCAGTGAGCTGGTATCATGCTACTGCATTCTAGCTTGGGAGACAGAGCCAGACCCTGTCTCAAAAACAAAAACCTGCAGACTCTCCTAGTTTCATAAAAAGCTTACTCTGAAAGTATAATTAAGAATAATCTTTTTTTTGAGATGGAGCCTTGCTCTGTTGCCCAGGCTGGTGTGTAGTAGTGCTACCTGGGCTCACTTCTCCACTTCCCAGGTTCAAGTGATTCTCATCCCTCAGCCTCCCAAGTAGCTGGGACTGCAGGCACACGTCACCATGCCCAGCAAATTTTTGTATTTTTAGTTGAGATGAGGTTTCGCCACGTTGGCTAGGCTGGTCTCAAACTCCTGGCCTCAAGTGATCCGCCTGCCTTGGCCTCCCAAAGTGCTGGGATTACAGGTGTGAGCCACCACACTCCGCCAAGAAGAACCTTTTCTTATGACTCAAGGTCACCATCATAACCATGAATTATTGTGTAAGGTGAAAGACACTGAATACTTATTTCCCAGCTCTCAGCTTTCACACATGAAAAATGACAGGGTCAGCCTAGATGATCTGCAAGTCTCTGGGCCTTTTTAAAGAATTTAAATACTTTATATCAAAGTATGTAAAGAACATTACTAAAGTGAAACATACTGATCTTTAAGCTACTCAAAATGATACTTCCCCTTAAGGTCATCGACATAAATACATATACAACTAGGTTACATGAGGAATATGGGTCTCTGCTTTAAGCCATACTTGGCCTGAGGCCAGTATTCTTAACTACGATTTATTTTTATCAGCAGTTCCTCTTCAGGGCAATTTCTTTTCTAGATTCACAGAGCTAACATAAACCTCACCACAGAACTACAGCTGGCTTTTAATGCAGCACAAATGTAGGCTTAAGGATATGGTAAAATAAGACTGCCAAAGAGAGTTAAGTTGGAAAAATAAAATAAAATTTGAAGAGCTAACTTAAAGTTTATTACATAAAAATGGAAGAATGAATCATACTTGGACAAAGGAAGAGATTTTGCCTAACAGCAGCTGACAGAGGGGAAAAGGTGACCAAGTGAGGGATGCATCAGATGCGAAGGCAGAGAAGCCGAAGACAATCTCATCAGGAGGGCCGTAAGAGACACCTGCACAGCAGGACGGGCGCCTCTCACCAGAATTTTGCCAGGATCCTTTGTGCCTTCCAGCTGATCCTTCTTGCAAATCAATAACACTGAAAGTGTTACAAAAGCACCTCTGATCATTTTGTAAATTATGATATGGCACTAGGATACTGATTTATTAAGGGAGTCAATCAAGTTATAAGAGTAAAGAACAAAACAATACCAAATTCAGCATCTACTATCAATTCTTTTCAAAGTCCAATATTCAGTTCACAAGAACCATACTCCAACCTAAGCAACCACAGGAACCAGCCATAAATCTCAAAACTATGACTAATGGGAGAGTATCACACAGCCTGTATGCTACACAATCAATTTACCAGATTCACCAATGCCGTCTATGCTTTGTATAAAATATGTGGCATGTTGAACTCCTGCATTTTGCAGGATACTCTCTAGTATACACAGGAAATTCTGACCCCACCATCTGAATCATATACTTACCATGAACCAGTTGTGATTACAGTAAGTTACTATAGCTATGCAACTGAATTATTACATAGCTAATGAAACATGAGTTCAAAAAAGAGTAATTGTTTCCAAGAAATGTAAGTAGATGGCTAAAAAGTTTACTGTCAAAATAAGTGTAAGTGAGACAACAGTTAAGACAAATGGGGCCGGGCACGGTGGCTCGCACCTGTAATCCCAGCACTTTGGGAGGCCAAGGCAGGCAGACCACCTGAGGTCAGGAGTTTGAGAACAGCATGGCCAACATGGTGAAACGCCGTCTCTACTAAAATACAAAAAAAATTAGCTGGGCATGGTAGCGGGTGCCTGTAAGCCCAGCTATTCGGAAAGCTGAGGCAGGAGAATCGCTTCTACCCAGGAGGTGGAGGTTGCAGTGAGCTGAGGTCATACCATTGCACTCCAGCCTGGGCGACAAGAGCGGAACTCCGTCTTAAAAAAAAAAAAAAAAAAAAGACAAATGGGAAAGGGCCAGGTGCGGTGGCTGAAGCCTGTAATCCTGAAATTGCCTTTGCAAAATTATGACTGAGACAATGAAGGAGATCTAACTTAATTGACTCCATCTTGCTTCTAACTTCCAAGCTGTCCTTGTTCACTCCTGGACGCAGGCTGAACGAACTTTGGGAATTTATAGTTTGAAACAAAGATGTTTAAAACAAGGACGACGGCCAGGCGCAGTGGCTCATGCCTGTAATCCCAGCACTTTGGGAGACCAAGGTGGGTAAATCATTTGAGGTCAGGAGTTCAAGACCAGCCTGACCAACACGGTGAAATGCTGTCTCTACTAAAAACACAAAAAATTAGCCGGGCGTGGTGGCGGGTGCCTATAGTCCCAGCTACTCAGGAGGCTGAGGCAGGAGAACCCCTTGACCTTGGGAGGTGCAGGCTGCAGTGAGCCGAGATTGCACCACTGCACTCCAGCCTGGGCAACAGAGTGAGACTCTGTCTCAAAAAAAAAAACAAAAAAAAAAAACAAGGATTAGCCACAAGATTAAAAATTATGATTTAGGAGTCATGTAGCTGGAGGCTACAAGATTCTGATCCTCTCTAAACTGCTCCTAAGATCAGTGCTTGAGATACTTTGCAGACTCTGCACTTGATGGATCAGCTGGCACCACCCCGATCAATAAACTGGGCATCTGATCTTGTGGCCCCCACCCAGGAACTGACTCAGTGCAAGACAGCTTTGACTCCCTGTGATTTCACCCCTGACCAATCAGCACTCCTGGCTCACTGGCTTCCCCCACCCACCAAATTGTCCTTAAAAACTCTATGGGTAGACTGATTTGAGTAATAATAAAACTCCGGTCTCCTGCACTGCATGAATTACTCTTTCTCTATTGCAATTCCGCTTGTCCTGAGAAATCGGCTCTAAGAAATTGGCAGGCAAAGTGAACCCATTGGGCGGTTACAATCCCAGCATTCTGGGAGGCTGAGGTGGGCAGACAGCTTGGGGCCAGGAGTTCGAGACCAGCCAGGCCAAAGTGGTGAAACCCTGTCTCTACTAAAAATACAAAAATTAGGCAGGTGAGGAGGTATGGGCCTGTAATCCCAGCTATGCAGGAGGCTAAGGCAGGAAAATTGCTTGAACCTGGGTGGTGGAGGTTACAGTGAGCCAAGATCATGCCACTGCACTCTGGCCTGGGTGGTAGAGTGAGACTCCATCTCAAAAAAAAAAAAAAAAAAAAGACAAATGGGAAATAATTTTTTAAAATCTAGAATTCTGTACTCACGATGCTTTGAAATTGTCTTCAAACTATTTAAGCTCTTCTAAAAGAAACAAAAAATTAGAATTGCAATGAATTGAGTATGGATTATGCAAAATGGATCACTTAGCACTGCAATCAGAAGTACACAAAGACCATAGCTGTCTGTCTATCAAAGGATTGGTGAGTAAATGCACATTATACATTTTAAGTTAAAATAAGATAATCAGTACAGTTAACCTTTGAACAACACAGGTCTGGTCCACTTTACATGCACCGTTTCTTCTATTTCTGCCACTCCACCCTCCTTTTCCTCCACCTACTCAATGTGAAGACAATGAGGATGAAGGCCTAATGCTCTACTTCCACTTAGTAGTAAATATATTTTCTCTTCCTTATGATTTTCTCAATAACATTTTCTTTAGCTTAATTTACTGTAAGAATACCGTATGTAATACATATAACATACAAAATATGTGTTAACTGTTTGCGTTATAAGGCTTCCAGTCAACAGCAGGCTATTAGTAGTTAAGTTTTGGGGGAGTCGAAAGTTATACTTTAATTTTCAACTGGGCAGGCGGTCGGTGCTCCTAACCCCCACATTGTTCAAGGGTCAGCTATATTTCTTTTTCAATTTTCATTTTCGTCAATTCTTCAACCCTTGTCCTAAGCATCCTCCCATTGCTGGCACCACCTAAGCTGTACAGAAAGGCTTAGAAGGCTTCATCTCCTTGAAACCACCTTTGCAAAATTATAATTGAGGAAATTATGACACTGAAAGAAATCAGACCTAACCAACTCTATCTTGCTTGTAACCTTTAAGCTGTCCTTGTTCATTCCTGAGCACAGGCCAGAACTAACTTTGGGAAAGAATTTGATCCATGGTTTGACTCTGAAACAAAATTGGTAACAGCCCTTTCCTGAAAAGACCCCCTTCTTGTCTGGGGTCCAGTCTGCCTTTGCAGGACTAACAAAATAACTACAAGAAATTACAATTTCGGGGTCATGTAGCCTCTGGCTCCAAGAGTCTGAACCTCCCCAAATTGCTCCTGGGGATAACATCACTATTGTAAAACCTAAGATCAGTGATTAAGATATTTGCAGACCCTGCACTTGATGGACTCAGACCAGTAACCTGGCCCAACCAGTTCTGCCATCCAACCCAGGAACAGAAGACATTAAGAAAACCTAACTTCAACCCCTTAAGATTCCATCTGCAACCTGACCAATCAGCACTCCCCACTTCCCAAGCCCCTACCCACCAAATTATCTTTAAAAACACCAAATTATCTTTAAAAACTCCAATCCCCAAATGCTCGGGGAGACTGACTAACAAACTCAGGTCTCCCGCACAGCCAGCTCTACGTGAATTACTCTTACTCCATTGCAATCCCCCTGTCTTGATAAATCGATTCTGTCTAGGCAGTGGTGATGGTGAACCCATTGGGCAGTTGCATCATGAGGATTTTGATAAGAGCACTGGAGTCAACAAGATAAAAGCAAGACATGCATATATTTTTTAACTGTTAGATTATGTTACCTGTATGGTCACATTACCTGTGGCAAATCTGTTTTACATTAACATGGGCAGACTCATACAAATGTCAACCAGTAAGAGATGGCACTGTTCTCACCTTAATACTATCAAGCAACTTAATAGATACAGCAAACTTAATTTATGAATATGTTTACACTGCCTACCAACAGACTGGATATTTGAAGATATTAAGAATGTATTCTGAATTTTTAAGTATAACAGGAATTACAGTTATTTAAGTCTACAGTTTTGGAGATATATATTAAAATACTTATCATGAAACGATGTCTGGAATTTGCTTCAAAATAATGAGGAAAGGGGAAAATAGGGGAGGGGAGGCTAGAGGAAACAAAACGGGCCAGGATCACTGTGGAGGTGGGTGATGAGTACACAGGGGAGTGTCACTGTGCTGTTCTACTTTTGTCCATGTTTAAAATTTTTATAAATAAAAAGTTAAAATAGAAAATATTGAATCATGCCAAACCATTGAGATGATAGTTTAAAAGTCACAGTGTAGTAAATTCTTATCATTTTATGTTGCCTCAGCATGCACTTTGAAGATAAGTGGGACCTTGTCGTAGCAGAAGCAGGGCTCTGTCACCCTGGACATGGCAGAGGGTGCAGTTCTACACCTCCTCCCAGTTCCTCAACATGACTAATACAGATACCTGCCTTAGACAACTTCCTCCTGGCAACCACCTCCCCATGGGAAAGCTACACACAGCCTACTTCACTGGCCCCGATCCCCACACCCCACATGGGCTGTGCAGTCACAGTGTGACCTCCTGGAACCAATTAAACCTCCCTGGGGGAAACCTGTTTGGACCCCATGAAGGCCCATGGGTCTCTAGGTAGGTCTCAATCTCTCTCTCTCCCTTCACAATTCCTGACCTTCAAGCTCCCTGACCATCCTGTGTGTGACCTCCAGGATTGCTGTGTACTCCCAGGGCCTGTAGGTAATAAAATCTGTATTTCTATCTTGTGCCTCTCCTAATCATTGGGGGATGCCCTTCATCTTGAAGACCCTAAATTAAAACACACAGATGTGGAATTTTTCAGCATGACTAATATGAAATTCCAGTGATCTAATTCATATTAAAAATAATCACTTAATGGAACCATGAAAGAATAAAGATTCATTGAATCTCCAAATTCTAAGCCAAGATGATGCCATTTCTTCTTAGCCCATAACAGCATTCTGCCCCAGTTCTCAGGGTTCCAGCTGCTTTCTTCTACTGCTGCTCTCAAGACTGCTGGGGCTTCAGGAAGTTTATACCAGACACCCTGCAAACAGTGACCCTCATCGGAAGAGAAATGCAGTGAGTCGCTGATCAGAAATGGTTTCATCAGTCAGAAATCCAGCAGTCTGCAAGTACTTTGCTTATGTCTATGTGGCCACCAGTCGAGTGAACAGCATAACGGTAACAGCCAAATGGTCTGATGAGCCGTTTGTATTCACTTTCAGTATATCCAGGAAACATAATCTGAAATTTTCTATCAGACAAAATCTCGAATGCAAAATAATAGAGGTTTTTAAAAATTTCTTTACAAAGTTTTTTCTCCCAGCTGATTTGACTGGGGTATTCCTCATATAGAGAAGGATACTGTGTCAATCCTTCTGAAGCTCTCTTACTGATTGACTTAAATGGAGCACAGGATTTTCCTAGTGTGGCTTTAATAAGATACAATCAATTAAGTTTTAAGAAGGGATAAAATAAGGCTTAAATCCAGTATCAAAGCAAACTGACTGTTAACTCCTGCAGTTAGCTTTGGGTAATAAAGGCAAGCTCAACTCTTTAAAAAAGAAAGAAGAAAGAAAGAGAAAGAAAGAGAGAGAGAGAGAGAAGGGAGAAGGAAGGAAGGAAGGAAAGGAAAGAAAGGAAAGAAAAGAAAGAAAAGAAAGAAAGAAAGTATTTTTTGTAAAAGTCAGTCATTTTGGGTGTGGTGAAAACCCTCCAATGGTTTTATTGCCAAATAAATGTCAAAGCCCCCGTGGTCGCCTGGGCCTCCTCAGCCTGGGGAGCAGCCCCTCTTCCCTGAGCTCCCTCAGCTCTGGCCTCACTGTGCAAGCACCAGCCTGAGGGTCTGCTCTTTCCCGAGATCCAAAGACACCCCAAGCACCAGCCTGAGGGTCTGCTCTTTCCCGAGATCCAAAGACACCCCAAGCACCAGCCTGAGGGTCTGCTCTTTCCCGAGATCCAAAGACACCCCAAGCACCAGCCTGAGGGTCTGCTCTTTCCCGAGATCCAAAGACACCCCCACCTTCCCTCAGATCTCTACCTGAGTGTCACCTTCCCAGTGAGGCTTTCTTGTTTTTTTTCACCTGCTTTCAGAACCCTAGTGAAACCATGAAACAACCGGAGAGGATAGGAGAATCCAAACAGCTATGTATCACATTAAGACAGAAAGGTCTGAGCTTTGCAGAGATTCACGCCCCAATACTGCGCACAACCAGCAAGGTGGTTACCATGTCCTCAAGCAGCACAGCAAGGAAGTGGTGGAGAGAGTTACTAAACTGAGGGGCAGGAGGAAAGGCCTAAAGAGGAGACTGGAGGGCAAGATGGGGTCACACCTTCAAGGCCATGGCACTAGGTTACCATCCCCACCCTCAAATTATGCTTCACCCTGGGCAAGAGGCGGTGGCCTGGGAACTAAAATATTATAGGTCTGCTTCCCCAGCAGGACGGGGATGTAATTTGTTGTAAATTATTACAGAAAAGCAAAATTATAATTTTTCCCCCACTTGGACTGTGCAATGGAATTCACACCTGAATCCATTCAATTATTTGTATTTTACAGATAAGGAAAGTGAAGCAGTAAGTAACTTTTCAAAGTAATGTATTAATAACTGGACTGGGATTTGAACCCAGGCTCCTAATCTCTATGCTATATCACCATTACATGAAAATACATATGCTTCATAATCAGGTAGAACTAATTTTATTCATTCATTGCATCTCTAATAAAAGACATAATTTCTCTTTTATTCTAAATATAAAATTCAAGAGAAACAAAACACTAATAGGGGAAATAGGCTTTTATGTAACAGCTATAATGAATCACAGAGGAATGCCAATGACCTCAACATTAATTCATTACATATATACATCCCCACACACATATAACAGTAATTATACACAAGGACAATTCATTGATACCTAACACCAAAAAGGTACTATGAAGTCCAGCGTTTTTAAGTAAACCTGTATTTTATTAACCGAATCTATATACATTTTAAAGAGTTAAAGATCCCCTGACAATTCACCAGCTGGGAATCCCTTCTCTAGAATAAGCTCTGGGTATTGCAAACCAGGTAAACAAAACACATCAAACAACAGCTTACCTGGAAATCAAAAGGAGCAGATCCATTTTAACCATTCCAAGACGCTATGTCCTCGGCCACAAAGGATTTAGAACAAGCCTGGGCACAGACTACTTGCCTCGAATGTTCACTGGTTCCTAAGAGTGGCTTAGTTTAACCAGTGCCAGATAAAATTTTAGAGTACAACCAGGGAAAGTGGACATTTACACTTCTCTAAAATGTACTTTCTGTCCTGCAAGGTCAGTCACTAAAATAGGAGCTCTTTAAATGAGACCTCAAACTAAACATGCCTTCAAGTATTTAACACCATTCCCTAAACTAGAGAAATGATCCTCTTCTACATCATGAGTAACATAATGTCAGAATATTTAGCACTTCTACATAAAATTTTCACACTATGGCTCTTTATTGATATACATTTATTTTTACTCTTAAGTTTCCAATGGCTAAATGGAGGGAAACAGGTCAGAGGGTCTCATTTCTGACTCCAAATACTGAGCTATCTCACTGTACACTATGTATACATACTTTTACCACAGCAACCGTACACCTAATGGAAGATATCTAAGTGTCTGTGTTCTCCATTAGACTGTAAATTCTCTGGATAGAAAAATATACATGCATTTTCACTTACAGTATAAATTCTAGAGAGAGACTGTTGAATAAAAAAAAAAAAAATTATTGGTCGAGCACAGTGGTTCATGCCTGTAACCCTAGCACTTTGGGAGGCTGAGGTGGGCAGACTGCTTGAGCCCAGGAGTTCAAGACCAGCCTGGGCAACATGGCAAAACACCATCTCTATAAAAAATACAAAAATTAGCCAGGCATGGTGATGCATGCCTGTAGTCCCAGCTACTTGGGAGGCTGAGGTGGAAAGATTGTTCGAGCCCGGGAAATTGGGGCTGCAGTGAGCTGCTACTGTACTCCAGCCTGGGCAACAGGGTGAGGTTCTGTCTCAAAAAAACAAACAAAATTTGATTTTTGGAAGCAATGTAGCATACTGAATATTTCTGTCAATATCCCTTGATGTTCATGCATAATAATATTCTAATGTTAACCACAGCCAACAATTACATGTATTCCTTCCATAATTAATGGTACAGCATATGCTGTTCACGGAACCCACAAGAAACTGAACAGTGCAGTTCAGTTGCCACCTTGTTTAAATGCCAACGACGGCTTCACGATCTGCTGCCCTTCTCTTATTTAGACACCCGTTACTTCTTACTGACTGCAGAGACAGGTCATATGAACACAGACAGCATGCCCATGCCTTCATGCATATGGGTCCTATAATAATACATGGGTGGATTTGATTATTCAGAGGTAGATTTACCTAGTTTGGGGACTACATTCTTTTTTCTAGCTTTGACAAACATTTGTTTCTTTACTTCCTTAAAGCTTCTAAGTGGGCAAACAGGAAAAATGAAGCCGCTGAAATTCAAATTCATCAAAATTAGGTATGGGTACTTACCACACAAATAACATTAAAAACTGGATTTACACAAAGGCATGTATTATCTGACTTATAAGTAATTTAAGAACAGGATTCTTCTCTCCTAGTGAATTAAAAGTTATTTTCATTATATAATCACGGTAGGAACATATTATACAATGCAAATAAATCTGGACTGATTACTGTTTTAATAACACACAAAACTGTATCGCATGTTTTCTGGCTAACTTAAAAGGCAATAGGAAGAGTAGTAACCAGCCTCCATGGTAATGTGAGATTGTAACAGTGTTGAGACATTTTGCATATAATACCAACGATCAATCAAAAGAACTGAAAAGTTACTGACAACACTACAAGTTGGCGAGAAACTAAATAGCTTCTGAGAATATTTTACGGATCTGTGATTTTCTGCATCATATGAACCCAGTTAGATAAAATAATCCTTTAAGCAAGACACAAGTGTTCACTGCACACGGCATGCTAGTGCAGCCACCCAATTTACGGCCTCACAGATCTTAGGGACCAACCAAGGACAGAACCCAAGTTCTTTCTTTTATTTTTCCATCCCTCACAATAGTGGTTCTGGAAGTTAGGTCCCTAGACCAGCAGCATCAGCATCACCTGGGAACTGGTAGAAATGTGTGTTCTCGGCCGGGCGCGGTGGCTCACGCCTGTAATCCCAGCACTTTGGGAGGACAAGGTGGGCGGATCACGAGGTCAGGAGATCGAGACCATCCGGGCTAACATGGTGAAACCCCGTCTCTACTAAAAATACAAAAAAATTAGCCAGGCATGGTAGTGGGTGCCTGTAGTCCCAGCTACTTGGGAGGCTGAGGCAGGAAAATGGCGTGAACCTGGGAGGCGGAGTTTGCAGTGAGCTGAGATCGCGCCACTGCACTCCAGCCTGGGCGAGAGTAAGACTCTGTATCAAAAAAAAAAAAAGAAAGAAAAGAAATGTGTGTTCTCAGCCCCACCCCAGACCTCCTGAATCAGAAACTCTGTGTGATTTAACAAGCTCCCCGGGTTGGTGACTGTGATACAGCTAGTTAGAGTACCACAGCTCTACCATTAATTCCTAATCCTTAGGAAATATCATCACTTTAGCAAGAGTTCAATTTCTCTCTCAGATGGAAGCTTATTACCATTGCCATATCTTTCTGTATAGAAGAGAGTCCTAATGAATCAGAGAAGAGGGGAGTTTGAGAAAAAAATTTAATACTTGTAGCATTTTAGAGAATCACTATCTATCACTTTCATAATGAAAACTCCAGAACGTGCACAAGATGTTTCCACTTATCAAAAAGGGTAATGGCTATAATCCCAGCACTTTGGGAGGCTGAGGCAGGAGGAATGTTTGAGCCCAGAAGTTCAAGATCAGCCTGGGCACATAGAGAGACCCTGTCTCTACAAACAAACAAACAAACAAACAAAAAATTAAATATTAGCTGGCTCTGGTGGCATGTGCCTGTAGTCCCAGCTACTTGGGAGGCTGAGGCAGAAGGATTGCTTGTGCCTGGGAGGTCGAGGCTGCTGCTGTGAGCCCAGATCACGCCACGGCACTCCACCCTGAGCAACAGAGTGAGACCCTTCTCAACCAAAATAAAAAATAAATGGCTAGGCATGGTGGTGTATGCCTGTGGTCCCAGACTGTATTAGTCTGTTTTCACACGGCTATAAAGAACTGCCCAAGACTGGGTAATTTATACAGGAAAGAGGTTTAATTGACTCACAGTTCAGCATGGCTAGGGAGGCCTCATGAACCACGATGGAAAGTGAAGGGGAAGCAAGGCACCTTCTTCACAAGGTGGCAGGAAGGAGAAGTACTGAGTGAAGGTGGAAGAACCCCTTATAAAACCATCAGCTCAGTCAGCATGGGGGAAATCGACCCCGTGATTCAATTACCTCCACCTGGTCCCTCCTGTGACACTTGGAGATTACAGCGATTACAATTCAAGATGAGATTTGGGTGGGGACACGAAGCCTAACCATATCACAGATACTCAAGAGGATGAGGCAGGAGGATTGCTTCAGTGTGGGAGTTCAAGGCTTCAATGAGCCATGTTTGCACCACTGGACTCCAGCCTGGGCAACAGAGCAAGACTCTATTTAAAAAAAAAAAAAAAAAAAGAAGGGGAATGGGTTTTTAAAGGCTGAAAACTTTGCTTTTGGTCATTATATAGTAATTGAACTCTAATAGAAGTAAATATTAGAATATTTTAAAAATCTTGGCTGGGCATGGTGACTCACGCCTGTAATCCCAGCACTTTGAGGGGCCGAGGCAGGTGGATCACTTGGTGTCAGGAGTTTGAAACTGGGCTGGCCAATATGGTGAAACCCCATCTCCACTAAAAATACAGAAATTAGCTGAGCGTGGTGGCACACATCTGTAATCCCAGTTGCCTGGGAGGCTGAGGCAGGAGAACTGCTTGAACCCAGGAGGTGGAGGTTGCAGTGAGCTGAGATCATGCCACTGCACTCCAGCCTGGGTGACAAAGTAAGACTCTGTCTCAAAAATAAAATTAAATTTAAAATGTCTATACTTTTTGGTATCATCTTGGCTTTAGATGATTCAGACAGCTCAACCTATTGTAACCACAGATCTCAGTAACCTAACGGGTATTGATTTCCTAGGGTTTTGGAGCTTTTAGGGGTTGCAAGGACATTGAATACGCTTTACATACTGTTGGAATTGCATCAGACTAATCTGGTTCAACTTTTATGTAACAAAGTTATGAGCTGCTTTTCAGTTGGCATGGACCTCCAGGTTGAACGTCACATCACCAGAGCATGCCCAAAACTAAGTGTGCAGCCATGGATAGAACCCACGTGCTCAGATGGGCACTTGGAATGGAATGGGCATGAGGAATGAGCACTGAATTAAGAAGTGGACACTAACAGTTTGGGAGGCTGTAATCACAATTCTTTGGGAGGCTGACACAGGAGGATCGTTTGAGCCTAGGAGTTTGAGACCAACCTGGGGAACATGGCGAGACCTCAATTCTACTAAAGAAAAAAAAATTTAAAAAATTGGCCGGGGGGGTGGCACACAGCTGTAGTCCAAGCTACTTGTGAGGCTGAGGTGGGAGAATCACTTAAGCCCAGGAGTTCAAGGCTGCAGTGAGTTATTATCATGCCACTGCACTCCAGCCTGAGGAACAGACTGAGACCCCGTCTCTACAAAAAAAAAAAAAAATTCTTTTAAATTAGCCAGGTGTGCTGGCACGCACTTTGTGGTGTCAGCTTACTCAGGATGTTGAGGTGAGAGGATCGCTGGAGCCCAGGAGGTTGAGCTGCAGTCAGTGGAGGTTGCACCACTGCACTTCAGCCTGGGCAACAGAAGAGAGACCCTGACTCAAAAAAAAAAAAAAAAAAAAAAAAAAAAAAAAAAACCACAGTGGACACCACATGGCAGGATCCAAAATCCGATCAGATCAAGCCCTGGTGTCACCCCATGGCAGGATCCAGTCAGATTATGCCTCCAGCATCACCCCACTGCAAGATCCAATCAGATCACGCCTCATTACCTCTAAGTACAAAACCTGACGTAGCCCCCAGCGTGGAGAGACAGACTTAAGTCCAACTCCTGTCTCCTTGCTCAGCTGTCTGGCAATAAGCCTCTCTCACTACAAAAACCTGGTGCTTCAGTGTTTGGCTTTCCACTACATGGGCAAATGGACCCAGTTCAGTTCGGCAATACTGGTAGATAGTCACGGGACAAAGTAAATCTGATGCATCAACAAAACAACTGTAAAATCATATTATTCAACTCTTGACTCTAAAATCTGAGTCATGGTTTAGGAAGGCGGGAGGAGAAGTGCAGTGCTGGAAACCCTGCCTAACCACAAAGAATTAACCACCCTGCCTCTTCTAAGCTCCTGAGGGAGAAGGCACATGGTGGCAGGTAAAATTACCAATGTATTTATGAAACAGCAATTTGTAACACCTTCAGATTCAGTGCTAGTTGTTCAGTAAGTTTTCAGTTATGTTTTAAAGCTACTTTTAAAACATACTCTTTTTTTCCCCTGGAAGAAGAAAATTTCCTTAAGTACCATACTTAAGAAAATTACAAAATAATATTTGTAATCCTGAATGCATTAGCATTCTTCTATTGAAGTGCCCTTACTATGTGTAAGCATTAAAAAATTTTTCCAACCTAGTACAATTTGAAACAAATTAACAGAAGGTATATAAGTTTGGGAATCTGCTTTAGAGGCCTAAAGACAGTAAGTTTTTAATTAAAAAAAAATCTTTTTTTTCCTTGTTACAAAAGCAGCAAATATTCATTACTTAAAATCTTGAGACTATAAAACAAACTAAAACATAAAAAAACTTCTTATGTGCAGCCACTATGCAATAGGCAACTATTTATACATACGTCTAAATTTTCAAGCCTTTTTCTGTGAATTTAAATTAGGAAATACATTTAAACTCGCACATTTTAAATACACCAATTCATTAATATCTGAATGTCAACTGTCCTAGGGAGGATCCAAATCTTTATTCCCAGCATCCAAGTGGCACAAAATAGCTACTGAAATGTCTGCTGAACTGAATATCTGGGATCTGACAAGGCAAAGTCTGGACTTGCAGACTGTGGAGCTGTACTATGGAAGTATTTTTGAAGCAACTGAAGTGATAGAGTAAGGTTTAAAACTCACTCAAAGTACTAAGTAACAGACTGATATGGTTTGGCTGTGTCTCCCCAGATCTCATCTTGAATTGTAGTTCCCATAATCCCCACATGTTGTGGGAGGCACCTGGTGGGGGTAATTGAATCATGGGGGCAGTTACCCCCATGCTGTTCTCATGAATTCTCACAAGATCTGATGGTTTTATAAGGGTTTTCCCCCTTTTGCTCGGCACTTCTTCCTGCTGCCATGTGAAGAAGGACATGTTTGCTTCCCCTTCCACCATGGATTTGTAAGCTTCCTGAGGCCTCTCCAGCCCTTTGGAACTGTGAGTCATTTAAATCTCTTTTCTTTATAAATTACCTAGCCTCGGGTATTTCTTCATAGCAGCATGAGAACAGACTAATACACAGACATTTCAAGACTTGGGTCCTTTGAAAGCCTCTGGGCTTGAGGAACTGTGCCAGGAGCCTGCACTGTGCCCCTGCAGACAGCCTGCCCTCCTTCAAGACATTGTGCCCTTTGAGTACAAGGACAGGCCTTTCATACTGACATCCCAGAGGACCTGGCACATCTGAAGTTCAAATGAATGAGTTGTGGATGACAACGGGTGATAGGCAACAGAATGAAGCTGCATTTCCCCCTCTTTAATTTATCCCTAAAGTTAAGTGTCTGACTTAATGAACAATCACAAATCTGTGACTTCTGAGTACTGTCCCTGTGGGTAATAATACCATATGACTCGATTTTCAGATACTACAAATAACTTAGAAAAATTCAGTCAGACTGAATAGCATCCTTAAACACTGCATTTACAATGCCTAGAAATTAGTAAGTAGTCTATCATGTGCTTTTAATAGTCAAAAGAAAAATGACAAAGAAATATCAATTGGAAAGTTTTGAAATGCCCACAGTTTGACAGCTTGACTGAAGGTTTGGTTTCAACCAAAATGCTTAACAACTTTTTGACCTTTCCCTCTGCAAAGATCAGATTAACACTTTCATGCACATATTCCACTCCCTTCACTTGACAGTCTGCTATAAAGATGCTCTGACTTGGATTTTGTTCCAGCAACTAGAGCAAGCTAATACCTGAGCCACTGCCAGACTGAAACAACTGAAGTGCTGAATAAAATATTAAAAGCAAAAGATACAAACTAAACACCTTTTGAAACACACTGCTGAGTTAGCACAAAAGGAAAGGCTCCGGAGAGGCCACAAAGGAAGTGAAAGCAGAAACCCTGGGAGAACACATGTGCTGAGGCAGGATTTCCCGCTGGGAGACTCCACAAACCTGGGAGCCTGGCTCTGTGCTCTGGGGACTGTGTGGGGGCAGGGGAGGCAACACACAAAGTGTCCTGTATTAAGCTACAAGCTGGGACTCCAAAAGGACCTCAGCATAAGGGTAAAGAGGAAAACCTGTGTGCAAGGAAATGTCTCATCATTGATACAGAGTAGTGGGGATGAGGAAAATTTCTCCTGAGATGCCAGGTCCATATTTATTCTACCCAGTATGGCTGAGAAAACATTAAGCCAGGAATTAAAGATATAGTGACTCCAAGGATGTAATGTCCCCAGGAGACTGGTATCAGCACACACAAATCCTCCCTGGAAGGATACAACCTCAATCTAGGTAATAGGATTCCCACAGAGGAAGTTCCAAGGAAAACAAGCAACTCAAGGAAAAATCAAATCAAATCACAAAACACACAAGAAAACAAAGCACCATGAGTGAGAATGTGCAGAAACGGATGGCTGAATCAGACTTCTGAGATTAGGACGGAAAACTATTAATGTTTTGACATGCTTAAGAGAAGCTTAAAAATATGAGCAAAGAACCAGAAACTATAATGAATGATAAGCAGATTTGAAATAGAACCAAATACAATTTCTAAAAATAGAAGATAACCGAAACTGAAAATTAAATGGATGAATAAAAGAGCAGATTTGGCCTGACTGAGGAAAGAATAGTGAACAGAAGGTAAGAACAAATGAAATCATCCAGAATGTAGCACAAAGAAAACATGACAGGTTGACAGATGGGAAGTTAGATTTCCATCGGTCCTTTTCATGTTACTAGAGTTCCAGAAAGAAAGAATGGAGAAAAGGCAATTTTCATGAATAACCGCTGAGAATTTTCTAGAGCTGCACTCACCTATAAAGTAGCCATTAGCCACATGTGGCTACTGAAATTAAAATTTAAACACAGTTCCTCAGTCACACTAACCACATTTCAAGTTCTTGTTAGCCACAAGAGGCAGGCAGTTACCATATGGACGGCACAGATGTAGAACATCATCACAAAGAGTACACTGAACAGCACTGTTCTAGAACTAACGTAGCACCTGTCCTCAGATCCAAGATACCCAGGAAACCCAAGCTGTGCAACTAAAATCCACACATGGACACACTACAGTCAAACTGCAAAATACTAAAACTGAGAAAGTTAAAAACAGCCAGTGAGGAGTCACACCACGGACAAAGGAACAATAATTAGCTAACTGGCTTCCCAGCAGCAAATGTCAAAGCCAGTAGAAAACAAAGGAAGAATACCTTCATTGTACTAGGAGAAAATGCTGTCAACCTAGAACTCTTTCAAGACCAGGGTAATTTTCATACCTAAGAGACATATAAGAGATTTACCAACAACATACCTTCTCAATGGAAATTCCAATTCATTTTAGATGGAAGGGAAATTATCTCAAGAAAAGACTGAAATGTAAGAAGAAACAGTAAGCAAAGACACAGTACAATATGATTAGATCTAAAACATTTAACTGTATAAAAATAATGTTCAATTTGTGGTGAAAAAGATATAACTAAAATACTGGGCAATAATTGATCATATTGGGGGAGATGACTGGAGTTAAATAACCTTATGTCTTTTTGTAATTCAGGAAAAGGCTAATGATATTAAGTAATTTCAGACTTTAATGTTAACATCCTTATGATAACCACTGGAAAAAAGAGACTTATAACACAAACCTTCCACAAAGTTGGGAGTGGGCTCCTACAATCTATAAGATGGTAGACAGAAATCCAAATATATCAGTAAACACAATGCTGTACAGGCAGGCACCAAGATCAGACTGGATAAAAAGGTAAAATTCAGCTATTGGCTTTTATATATCTGGGAAATATTTACCAAAAGCTAGTGAAATCACATTAACATTAGAAATATAGTCTTTAAGAAAAAATGCATTACCAGAGGTAAAGAGGTTCACTTCATAATGATAAAAACTTCAATTCACCTAGAAAATAATACTAATTGTAAATGTAGAGAAAATTTTTAAATTCACCATTTTAGCATCACCATCAAGTAGACAGAGGATCAGTTAGATACAACAGATCAAATAGAGGAACACAATTAGTAAGGATATACATATAAACAGCACAGTAAGTCTAGTGGACATAGAGCATACAGAATAGACACACACATCAATAATATGTATACTCTTTTTGTGCACAGGTGAAACATAAAAGCTGACTGTATGCTGGGAATAAAGTTAGCCTCAACAAATTTCCAGGTACAGTATTGATTTTAATTAGGCTCCCTGATCACAATGCAATCAAGTTAGAAATCACCAACAAGAAAGAGAAAAACCCAATACATTTGGAAATTAAAGACAATTCTGACAACTTGTAGGTTAAAGACAACTCTTTAAAGTCTCAGAAATATGAAGCTTGTTCCAACTACCTTAAAACATCAGGCAATTTCTCATGTAATCATTAGTAAAATTGATTATGTTTTAAAAAATATAATTGCCAATACCTAAGCTGCAGATGTAAATTTTGTGTTGTACCTGTATACACTTTTAACAAATACACTAAAACACATGATTAAAAGAACAAAAGCTTACAGCTGGGGATTAATAGTTTTCTACTTCAATAATCGAGTCACTTATCTCACTAGAATATATTTTTGCTCTTTTAAACTTGTCATTGAAGATACAAAAGTGATCACAAACAGTCTCAGCTTCTTGAGGCTGACAGCATTCAAAGGAGCCAGCCATCAGTTATAGAAACAAATATAAAATGGCAGTCGGGGTGTGTAATGTGACCCTGAAACAGGGGCGGGGACATCAGGAAAGGCTTTCCCGGGGAAGTGATGCTTAGACGCATTAAGACCTAATATGTGGCCAGGCGTAGTGTCTCAAACCTGTAATCCCAATACTTTGCGGGGCTGAGGAGGAAGGATCACCTCAGTTCAGGACACATGGTGAAACCCCATCTCTACAAAAAATACAAAAAGTAGCTGGGCATGGTGGTGCACACCTGTAGTCCCAGCTACTTGGGAGACTGAGGTGGAAGGATCACCTGAGCCAGGGAAGTCGAGACTGCCGTGAGCTGTGTTCGTGCCACTGCACTCCAGCCTGGATGACAAAGTGAGACCCTGTCTCCAAAAAAAAAATAATAATAATCATAATCATAAAAACTTAACATCTAAAAACAAAGTACCTAGGGAAGGACAAGGGAGAACAGCATTCCAGAAAAGAAACAGCAGTACTGCAAAGCTACAAAGTTTTAAGTGGACAATTAAAGTAAAACTATAATTTAATTTTCAGATGGTCAATATAAAAACAAGGCACAGTAGAAAAACTGCAACATTTTTATGCTTTCTAATCTATTCCTTCTTTAATGAGACTTGTTCATCTTTCTACTGTCACAGAACTTATCTTTGACTATACAAATACTGCACACTCTACTTAAGACACATAGAAAATACTACTGTTATACAAAGTTAAATGGTTAGCATTTTCCAAACATTTTAAAAGCCATAAAAATCAACTTTAATCCTTAAGACCTGTTAGAAAGATATTTCTATTCTAGTCGTCAAATAAAGAAGTTTCTGCTCTGGAGGGGCTACAAAGTATGCCTTCTGAATTGTTCTCACTAATCTATGCATGGAATAAACAAGTCTTAAGTAATTCATTTATTCCCTACCATTATTTTTAACATTCCATACCCACTTAATTTAACCAGACAAGCTGTGTAACACATGTGTATAACTTTAGGTATTGGAACCGAAGAGTTAAAAAAAAAAAAAAAGCATCAGGAACTCCTAGAATCTTGTTATAGTTAGCCTAAAGGTGACTATGTAAGCACAAAAGGATCCAAATTAGTGACTGAAGGTTAACTTTGACGTAGAAATTACAGCTAAATTATATAGATATGGATTAACCTCCACTAACAATTTTCTTCATGTCCCCTTTGACAGACACTGAAAAAAAATTCTTCATTTCTTTTCCAGAACTTGATCTTTTAAATAAAACAGGATGACTGACAATGTATTATATATTTATATATCTCATATATATATAAACTATAATATAATATATATTTATATATTATATAAACTATAATATAATATATGTTTATATATTATATAAACTATATGTTTATATATTATATAAACTATAAGTTTATATATTATATAAACTATAAGTTTATATATTATATAAACTATAATATATGTTTATATATTATATAAACTATAATATATGTTTATATATTATATAAACTATAATATATGTTTATATATTATATAAACTATAATATATGTTTATATATTATATAAACTATAATATATGTTTATATATTATATAAACTATAATATATGTTTATATATTATATAAACTATAATATATGTTTATATATTATATAAACTATAATATATGTTTATATATTATATAAACTATAATATATGTTTATATATTATATAAACTATAATATATGTTTATATATTATATAAACTATAATATATATGTATATATTATATAAACTATAATATATATGTATATATTATATAAACTATAATATATGTTTATATATTATATAAACTATAATATATGTTTATATATTATATAAACTATAATATATATGTATATATTATATAAACTATAATATATATGTATATATTATATAAACTATAATATATATGTATATATTATATAAACTATAATATATTTTATATATTATATAAACTATAATATATTTTATATATTATATAAACTATAATATATATTTATATATTATATAAACTATAATATATATTTATATATAAAATATAATATATATATAAAATATAATATATATTTATATATAAAATATAATATATATATATAATATAATATATTTATATATCATATATATATAAAACCTATAATATAAATAGGTTATATTTTGGCTGGGTCGAAATATAACCTTTGGAGGCTTCCAATAAAGGTCAAGACTAAAATGCTCTGCAGCTTTTGTATTAATATTTGTAAAACAAGACTTGATTGCACTGAGTGAGTGTATACACTTAAACTGAATGCAGCACTCTACTGAGTAAGGAGTAGAAATAGAAAATAGATAATCCCCTTAAAATGTGCAGTTACTGATTAACTTTCCTTTTTTTTTTTTTTTTCTTGAGATGGAGTCTCACTCTGTCACCCAGGCTGGAGTGCAGTGGCGCAAAATCGGCTCACTGCAAGTTCTGCCTCCCGGGTTCACGCTATTCTCCTGCCTCAGCCTCCCGAGTAGCTGGGACTACAGGCGCCCGCCACCACGCCCAGCTAATTTTTTTTGTATTTTTAGTATAGATGGAGTTTCACCGTGTTAGCCAGGATGGTCTCGATCTCCCGACCTCGTGATCCGCCCGCCTCGGCCTCCCAAAGTGCTAGGATTACAGGCGTGAGACGGCGCCCGACCCTGATTAACTTTCTTTAGCAGTGAAGGACTGTCAAACTAAAGTTCTTCTTCTAAAAGATAATTTCCTTTTTTATTGTAAAATATAGTAGTGGAGTTTTTAAAAATCCCAATAGTTCAGTGATAACCACATCCTTAATACGTAAGAACAAACAAGAAAATTGTATCTGAAGATACTATAGCCAAGTCTCTGATAAATTCAAAGGGAAATCGACATCCCTTAAAATATCCAGATACTGAATTTACTTTTCATCAGTTAATACTTATAGCAACAGCCTGAGTGCCACTGGAGCCTACATTTTTATTAAAAGTTAGTCATTACTACTAAGCACATTCTCCCCACCCCTTGAAGAAGACAAAGAAAAAACACAACTACTCAGGTGTGGGGAAGGAGTGTGCATATGGGGGAAGGGAGGAAAGCACCAACTTGACTCTCTGGGAACAATTAAAAAATGAGACTTTGGTTTGACACAAGAATCACCAGCATGTCAGAAAACAAAGGAAGGGTCTTCTTTTAATAACTGCTTCGTTGCTCTTCTTTTTCTTAAAATGGAAATGGTTTGTCACAATGTAAACATGGAAATGAGCACCATGTGGAACAGTGATTAGGCAGCCGAAAGAAACTAACAGAACTACTGGAATTTGCCTTTGGAGTGGTGTAGATAACGAAGTAGGAAGTCCTTACGCATGCTTTAAGGCTCGTGTTTAATCAAAGACACATGCAATTCGAGATTAATATACAAGAACCACTTTTCGATTTTTTGGAAAAAAATTAAGTTCAGGATTAACTATGAAATAAAAATTTCACTATATATACCTGCACTAGTTGCTAAACTGCATTCCACTTAAAGGACAGTACAGATAACATGCCTCAGTAGACCAGAGTGTAAAAACACACTGACCACCACTAGACAGATCTCTATGTCATAAACCGTCTTCTCTTTTTTCAAACGGAGTCTCGTCTTTTCTTTTTTCAAACGGAGTCTCGCTCTGTCGCCCAGGCTGGAGTGCAGTGGCGCGATCTCGGATCACTGCAACCTCCGCCTCCCGGGTTCAAGCGATTCTCCTGCCTCAGCCTCCAGAGCAGCTGGGGCTACAGGCGCGCGCCACCACGCCCAGCTAATTTCTGTATTTTTAGTAGAGACAGGGTTTCACCATATTGGCCAGGCTTGTCTCGAGCTCCCGACCTCAGGTGAACCACCCACCGCGGCCTCCCAAAGTGCTGGAATTACAGGTGGGAGTGAGCCACCGCGCCCGGCCTATAAACCGCTTTTAAGGTTGCAAGATGAGCATGTACTAGGATGTGTAACTGGTAATTTCTGGAATGTCTGGCAACAAACCTCAAAATCAAATTTCCTTAGAAATCCTTGGCCTAAGTTTTATTTTTAAAAAGGTCAACACAAAATTAATACGTTAAAAAGGTGGCAAGTTCTATCGCATTAATAAAACCAAAGCACAGCACAGGCAATAATATATTAACAAGAAGGTAATTATTTCAGTAACAGCAGCAACAGGTTCCCTGGAGGAGAATCCCCATTTCTCTACAAACGCTGCACCTAGATGGATTCAGAGCACAAAATTTACCACAGCACAACATCTAGCAGACCGAAGTCAAGCAATGCTGATCTTTCAAAGAGATTTCACATTTCTTACCATTTTCTACCTTAACACTCCACAAAAAAAGCAAACACCTATCGAAAAATAAAAAATAACGTTTCTAGCAACCCAAAAGTAGCTCAGAGATCTCAAAAACAAATAGACAAAGGGGTGCTGATGCTAACAAAGTGACATTACAAAAACTAAGTGCAAAAGTAAACCCACTCCTCACAGTGTATCACAGATCAGTTAATGGCTCAGGTATAGAGCCTCCTCCCCCAGGTCCTCCCTTCCGTGACCGTGACTTCCCCAGTGGCTATTCTACATCAAGTAACTACTGAAAACGCCCAAGGAAAAGGAGCGGGGGAGGGTGGCTTTTGAAAATTCAGGTAGCCAAGAGTGACTGCTAATTTCATAAACAATAACGTAAAACAAGCAAACCACCGCTCCTAGCCAATGACGAAGCAGGAGTCAAAGTTCCACCACGTAATTCGGGCCTGGGCCTTTTTTCAGGCAAACACGTAATCGAAAGCACAGTCATTTCCCTCTTGATATTTTATTCATGCCGGCAATGCCATTCACAATGAAAAGGTAGCAAAACAAAAGAAAAAAATAACAGCAGCGAAGGCAAAGGGGCGCGGGGCGTCCCAGCCTCGGTCCCTCCCCGGCCGCGAGCCCCCGCAGGCCGGGACGGGAAGCGCCGCGTCCTCTCCGCCGAGGTCTCGACCCCCACCCGCCCCGCGGGGGCGAGGGTCCCCCAGGCGGCAGCGGGAGGGGACGTGGGGGCGGCGGGGACGCCGGACGCCACAGAGCGCCAGTCGCCTCGGGGGCCTCCCCGGGCTGCGGGAAGTTTCCGTCCCGCGGCCCCTCCCGGCGAGCCCGCCGCAGCCCACGCTCAGGTGCAAACTTCCCAAACCTCGCTGCGCCCGGGGTCCCAACCCGCGCCCAGACCCGACGCCGTCCCCCGGTGCGATCCTGGTGGTCTGTCTGCACTGCCCGCCGCACCCATGCCCAGAAGGGACTGGCTGGGCCGCGGACCCGCCCGGGGACTCCACCGAGGAAGCGGAGTGGCCCCTCGACCACCCCTGGCCCCGACCCTCCCCGCGGCCCCGGCCCCGACCCTCTCCGCGCCGCCCCGGGCCTGAGCGACCGGCCCGGCCTGCGCCGCGCGCCCCTCACCTTGGTGGCCATGGCGGGCGGGTCCCCCGGCCCGGGACGGCCGGCTCGTCTCCCGCGCCGCGGATGGTGATTCTGAGCCGCGCAGGCAAAGGCAAGGGCGAGGGCGGCGGCTCCGGCTGGGCCCCGGCGCGGCGGCCGCTCCTCCGCCTCGGCCCCGAGTCTCGACGCTCAGGCCCAGCCGCTGGGCGCTCGGCTACTCCCGCGCCGCACGCTCCTGCAGTTCCTGAAAGTCCCCGGCTGCGCGGCCCCCGCCCCTGTCGGCCGAGCCTCCCATTTACCGCGGCGCGCGCGACGCCCGCCGGAAGCGCGCCCTGGGCCCTCGGCCGCGGCCCGGCCTCCTCGCCTCCTGGCCGCCCCCGCGCCGCGCCGCCGCCCCGGGCAGTCACCGCCGCCGCCGCCGCCGCCGCCCCCGGGCGCCCTTGGTCGAGGCTGGGAGCGGCGTCCCGCGCAGCGGCGGGGTCCGGACGGGCGCCCCAGGCCATGGCCCGCAACCCTGCGTGGCCGCCCCAGGGGAAGCGATCCGCGGCCCACAGAGCCGCTCGGGGTAGCCGAACCCCGACTCCGGTTCACGCTCGGCCGGCGCCGCACGCCGTGGCTCGGCGCTTTCCGTGCATGAGGCGGGAGGGGGCGGCAGGAACTCTCGACGCCCCGGGCAGACAGGAGCCCCGCAACCCCGCTGTCTTTGCCCCACGCCTGGGGTGTTGCGGGGTCGCCGTGCCCTTGGCCGAGTACCCTGAGTACCACATAAACAGCTGGGAAGGAGCGGAGCGATGGCTTCCTGGGCCTCTTCCTCCTGCCCGGAGGCTCCCTCAGGCCGGGGTCCTGGCTTGAAGCCCCTGGGACGGGACGGTGGGGGGTTTCGTTCTGTGACGCCCCGTTAACCTCATTCTGGAATCTTGATAAGCTTAAAAATACCGGAGGGCCCGAGAGGTTTGGGGGACAACAGGCTCTCTGAAGTGGAAACGAGGTCTCTAAAATTTTCCATCTTTCTGTCAGTGTTTCTTTCCAGAGTTGGAGATATATATATGGGTGTTATGAATAAACGAATGACTTGAATTGAGCAGCAAGATTTTTCACTCAAGGACAAAACACGACTGGAAGATGTGTCTTAATTGGCATACTAGTGGAGTGCTTTTTTATTATTATGAGGGATATATTTGTAAGAAGAGACAACTATCAAATGTAAATCTCTGGTGTTTAATGTCAAGTTTGTGTCTTCTTAAATACATTCTATTTGACCTGAGATTTCACTAGTTATATTCAATAATGGGGTTTAAAATAGATACGGTATTGCAGAATTTTCTGTGAATTTTTGTGTTTGTTGAGCTCATGGTTAAGCTATAGTCATCATAATATGCATAAATAGTTGTCTTTCTCCGTAAAAAAAAATATTGGGAGGCCAACATTCATTGACGGCCTGCTTGCTGTATACTAGGCTTCCACATCCCCATCTCATTTAATCCTTATAAGAAACATTTGAGAAACTCATTATTGTCCACTGTTTACAAAGAAGAGCGACTCAGGGATCACTTAAATAACTTGCCCATTTGGTAATACTTATTCAAATCGAAAATGACCGTAGCCTTGGACCCAGCAGCCCTCCTGGGAATTTATCCTGTCAAACACTTGTACAAGTGTTCAAAGATGTTCATCAAAGATTGTTCTGTAATAACTCCAACCAGAAAGCAACCTATGTGTTTGTTAACAGGACTGTTTCAGTAAATAAGATACATCCATTCAAACAAAAATACTAGGAAGCCCGTAAGAAAATGATAATATTCTAAGAGGTGTTAAGAAAGATAAAAAGAACATTATGTATGGTACATTTATGTAAAAAAAAAAAAAAAAAGGAAATATGTGACACATTCCTAGAAAATTTCTGAGAAAGATTCGCCAGATCCTGTTGTCAGAGTTTTTGACCATGTGTATATATGACTTCATTTAAAAACAGCAGTTATATTTTAATAAACAATGGAAGAAATAACTTGGCTAAGAGCACACACTAGTATGTGGAAAAGCCAGGATTTGAACTCAGGCAATGTCATAAGTAATGAGTTTTCCATATTCTTTTAAATGTGAAGGCTGGGTACAGCTCTCTCTGCAGCCGTTCAACAATGCATCCCTTGATAGGAAGGTGCAAAGTTAGGGGCACACCTGTGAAGACAGGCCTTTCCACATGCTCATCTGGCAAATCCTATGCAAATAGTCATCCTGGGCACCCAGCACCATGAAAGCAAGAAGACTAGAGACTTCAAGCTTTTCCCACCAGAACAATTTCATAACCCTGGTTTTATTTTTTAGAAGTAATGGTGGAGGGCTAAGGTGGAAGGATTGCTTAAGCCCAGGTGTTCAACACCAGCCTGGGCAACATAGTGAGACCTCATTTCTAGAAGTTTTTTGTTGTTGTTGTTGTTTTAAAAAGAGCAAGACTGTGAAAAACAAATGAAAAAGTACATAAACAGAGATAAACATGGCCGGGCGCTGTGGCTCACGCCTGTAATCCCAGCACTTTGGGAGGCTGCGGCGGGCGGGTCACGAGGTGAAGAGATCGAAACCATCCTGGCCAACATGGTGAAACCCCGTCTCTACTAAAAATACAAAAATTAGCTGGGCATGGTGGCACGCGCCTGTAGTCCCAGCTACTCAGGAGGCTGAGGCAGGAGAATCACTTGAACCCGGAAGGCGGAGGTTGCAGTGGGCCGAGATCGAGCCACTGCACTCCAGCCTGGGCAAGACTCCGACTCAAAAAAAAAAAAAAAAAAAAAGAGATAAACATGTGCACTTTCACAATAAGCCACACCGAAGGGATCTTGAACATAACTAAAATCTTTTTCACATTTTTAGTAATGAATTGGGTAGTATATCTCCAGTAAATACTGCTAAACTTAGGAGTTTTATTTTTATATACGTCAGTCAAAATCAACATTACTTCATGAATGTTATAGAGGAGACCCACTTTCATAGAATATATTTGTATATAGAGAGAGAGACTGGGTCTTGTTCTGTCACCCAGGCTGGAGTGCAGTGGCCCAATCTCGGCTCACTGCAGCCTCCGCCTCCCAGGTTCAAGTGATTCTCCTGCCTCAGCCTCCGCAGTAGCTGGGATTACGGGCACCTGCCACCATGCCTGGCTAAGTTTTTTTTTATTTTTTATTTTTTATTTTTAGTAGAGACAGGGTTTTGCCACGTTGGCCAGGCTGGTCTCAAACTCCTTATCCTAAGTGATCCGTCTGCCTCAGCCTCCCAAAGTGCTGGGATTACAGTCGTGAGCCACTGCACCCGGTGGTGGCGTTTGTCTTCTGCTCCCACTTGATCAACCATGCATATCTCTCTTCTGTCCACCTCCGTCCTTTGAGCGAGCTTCCTTAGAGTTGATTCTCTACGCAGGCCTGCCTTTAGAACCCAGAACCCAGAACCCTGGGCCATGCTAAGTTCAGATTTTCTTCTACAGCATGAACTTCCATTACTCCAGGGGTGAGAACACAATTAGTTAAGCAATTGGATTTGCATTTGCAGACTGCGTTTGGTTATTACTAGATTGCACTTTCAAAAGAAAAAGACCTGGAGGCAGAGCAACAGAGCCACTCTGTTTAGGCTTTGTACTCTAGCTGCTTTTTTTTTTTTTTTTTTTGAATCATGCCACAGGAGGTAAAGTGATTAGGATTCACAGGAAGCTTCGTCCAGCCACACAGCTGGGGGGACAGGAAAATAATGACCACCACCTCTTCCCTGCGTTTGTTCAGTATGGCCAGGTGTTTTTATTCAAAATTAGATTCTCCTTTGGTTTTTAAGAGCTCAGAGCCCAACTAAATGCTTGGTCAACTAATGGGAAACTAGCATGGGAAAGTGCAACTATGGGAACTAATGTGGAACGGAGTGAAAATGTGTGATGGTCACCTAATGTAAGGATCGGAGGATGAGAATAATGTGTAACAATACAGAGTCAGCCTGGGTCTGGCACAAGGGGATACCTCCTCTCACTTTAGGGCATGAATTTAATGAGGTTAAAGAAAACCTTGGGGTGACCTTGAAAATAAACGTGGAAAGGAGTGCAGCTGGTGCCATTCCAATCCTAATAAACGTATGACGTCCTCACCTTGGACTGGATGCTGTTACAGGTGAGGGAGACAAAAGTCCCTGCTCTCTTAGAACTTAACAATCTGTAGAGGGTGGGGGAAGTCAATAAACTACAAATAAATGTCTAATGTGCCAGGTGCTTTTATAAGTGCTCTGAAGAATCTTTATAGGAATAAAGAGAAGCAGGAGAGGTTTTTTCCTATAAGGTTTCCCCTTGGCATTAGACTAGCTGAATGTATGTATGAAAAGTGTATGGTTTTAAAATTATGTTTGTTTTAGTTGGTTAGCTGATTGGTTGGTTTTCATTTTTGTTCCATTTTGACTAAGTCACATTTCTTTCTCCATCGTCTGGGAGACACAGAGCCGTAAACAGTAACGGGACATAGTGTCCAGAACTAGAAATTGAGCAGAAATCTGACTGCTAGGACCTGAGCAGTCCAGGAAGGGACAGTTGGCATGGGCAGAGAGAGACTGGAGGCTAGGGAGGCTGCATGGATGGCAGAGGTGGCAGCAGCAGGCGGTGTTAGGCTGGAACAGGAACCGTTTGCTCAAGGTTCTATACTAGACTGTTTGCTGAGTTTGGGTAGTTCCGACTCCCAGAAGGACTGAGCTGTGAGGTGAGGGCAGCAAGAGAAGATTGGCTCACCAGTTGGCTTCCCAAATGAAGTCCCAGCCTGTAGGATCCCTGGTGTCTCATGAAACTTTGCCCTAGGATATTGTTTTAATTCTTTGACCTGTTAAGGACAGGCTGGCGTGAGTCCTTGGAGACGTACTGGCATTCAGTGATTGGGCACAAAGAAGTAACAGTGGATATAGGACATTTTGCTAGTTCATGTGTCATTGCTCAAGTTACAAACTGTGATGGTTAAAACTGAGTGTCAACTTGATTGGATCGAAAGATGCAAAGTATTGATTCTGGGTGTGTCTGTGAGCCTGTTGACGAAGGAGATTAATATTTGAGTCACTGGGTTGGGGAAGGCAGACCCACCCTTAATCTGGGTGGACACCATCTAATCAGCTGCCAGCACAGCTAGAATATAAAGCAGGCAGAAAAACGTGAAAAGAATAGACTGGCCTAGCCTCCCAGCCTACATCTTTCTCCTGTGTTGGATGCTTCCTGCCTTTGAACATCAGACTTCAAGTTCTTCAGTTTTGGGACTCAGACTGGCTCTCCTAGCTCCTCAGCTTGCAGGTGGCCTATTGTGCGACCTTGTGATCATGTGTGTTAATACTTAAAAAACTCATATATATATGTATATATATATATGTGTGTGTGTGTGTGTGTGTGTTTGTGTATATATCCTATTAGTTCTGTCCCCTCTAGAGAACCCTGACTAATACACAAACTATAGAGAGTTCTTTTTTTTTTTTTTTTTTTTTTTGAGACAGGGTCTCACTTTGTTGCCCAGGCTACAAACCAGTGATGCAATCACAGCTCACTGCAACCTTGACCTCCAGGGCTCAAGTGCTATTTATTTATTTATTTATTTATTTAGAGTCAGAGTCTCCCTCTGTTGCCCAGGCTGGAGTGCAGTGGCACGATCTTGACTCACTGCAACCTCTGCCTCCCGGGTTCAAGCAATTCTCCGACCTCAGCCTCCCAAGTAGCTGGAATTACAGTGCCTGCCACCATGCCCAGCTAATTTTTGTATTTTTAGTACAGATGGGGTTTCACCATATTGGCCAGGCTGGTCTCTTTGGCGAGGCTGGTCTCAAACTCCTGACCTCGTGATCCACTGGTCTCGACCTCCCAACATGCTGGAATTACAGGCGTGAGCCACCACGCCTGGCTCAAGTGCTACTTTTAAAGCTAAAAGCCCCACATAACATGCCAGCACACACTGACACACTCTCATATCCTTGCTTTATGGAAGGCAACTCTAATGACAGTGCTTGCTAAATACAAGTACAGGACATTTGCTGTGACCGCCATGATTTAGAGCCAGACACTGCAAATTACAGCCTCCATCCCTTGTGAGTCCTGTTCTCCTTCCCCAGGGCTTTCATCAGAAAGCCCACCCACTGCTGAGTGCTGAGTGCTGAAGAGATGGCCTTGGTCGTGGCATCAGGCATCCTTGGCTTGAAACTCACTTCTGCTGCTTGTCACCTGTGTGAACTTGAGCAGGTACTTTCATCTTGATCCTCAGTACCAATGTCTGTCTTGTCTGTTCAGGCTGCTATAACAGAATACCATAGACTGGGTGGCTTATTAACGACAAATGTTTATTTCTCACAGTTCTGGAGGCTGAAAAGTCCAACATCAAGGCACCAGCAGATTCAGTGTCTGGTGAGTGCCCCCTGGTTCATGGACAGCCATCTTCTCGCTATGTCCTCACATGGTGGAAGGGTGAACAAGCGCGGTGGGATCTCTTTTATAAGGCATAACTCCAATCATGAGAGCTCTGTCCTCATGACCTGATCACCTCCCAAAGTCCTCACTTCCAAATACCATTACATTAGGGGTTAGGATTTCAACATCTGAATTTAAGGAGGACACAAACATTCAGTCAATAGCATAGCAGTGTTGCCCTGGGTTTGTTCTGAAGAGTCCGTGATTAACTGGAGTAGCAGGAAGTTCTAACAGATCTTAATAGTTATTATAACGATGTGCTGGGCTTCATGGTGGTGGTGGCCAATATCTTCTTGCAGTTCTCAGTTCTGTAACAAATTTCCCAAGATGCTGTTTTCCAATGACTACAGAGTATTGATCACACCCAGTACCTGTATTTGCTCACTCCTGTGGCATTCCTTTCTTCTTTTTCTTTCCAGTCATTCATTTCGTTCCTCAATATCCTCTATCTTTTACCCCACTGTATTTCATTTCAGTCCCTTGGTGTATTTCATCTCTTCTTTTCCATGTCTAGAGAATGTTCCTAACTCTAGTTTCTCAGGATTTTTCCAGGCACATCAGTAACTTTTCTGCTTTTTAAAATCATTAAAGCTTTTGATGAAGTAAGAAAATGTCAAAATGCAAAATATCCTTTTTAGTAAACAAGTGCATAAAGCTCACAATTCCAGTAAATACAAACTCCGCATTAGTTTCAAAACAGGTAACAAGTTTATTGTTATACTCTTTAGAAATTCTAGCTTAATTTAAAAAATATTAAGTAAATGACTGTTTAGAAACACAGATGGTTCTTATAAATAGTTATGATCTACCCGTTACCTCCCGTGTCAATATTTGCATAGCAAAGGGGCGGTTTTCAGGGGGCAATTGTGTGTTCATTGACTGGAGGGATACACACAAGAGCCCTGGCCTGGTGCTTGGCACTCGAGGAGTTTAGGAGGCAGGGGTTCCTCTCATGGCTGGTGTGGTCTATTAGCTGCTGCTTTTTTTTTTATTATTATACTTTAAGTTCTGGGATACATGTGCAGAATGTGCAGGTTTGTTACATAGGTATACACGTGCCATGGTGGTTCGCCGCATCCATCAACCCGTCACCTACATTAGGTATTTCTCCCTCCCCTAGCCCCCCACCCCCCGACAGGCCCTGGTGTGTGATGGTCCCCTCCCTGTGTCCATGGGTTCTCATTGTTCACCTCCCACTTATGAGTGAGAACATGAGGTGTTTGGTTTTCTGTTCCTGTGCTAGTTTGCTGAGAATGATGGTTTCCAGCTTCATCCATGTCCCTGCAAAGGACATGAACTCATCCGTTTTTATGGCTGCATCGTGTTCCATGGTGTATATGTGTATTAGCTGCTTCTTATTTCACGCCTAAGCTATCTATTGAGAGCCTACAATGTGCAAAGTGCTATAGGAGATAAGCTCAGTCATGAAAAACGCATTTTGTGCTCCTAGAACTTAAAATCTCATGAGAAAAAGAAAACCTTCCTCTTAACACCCTAAGAGAGCCCTGGGCCAGGTGTGGTAGCTCATGCCCATTATCCCGACACTTTGGGAGTTGGGAGTATTGTTTGAGTCCAGGAGTTCAAGACCAGCCTGAGCAACACAGTAAGACCCTGTCTCTACAAAAAATAAAAATTAGCTAGGCGTGGTGGCATGTGCCTGGAGTCCCAGCCACTTGGGAGGCTGAGGTGGGAGGTGGGAGGATTGCTTGAGCCCAGGAATCCGAGGCTGCAGTGAGCCAAGATCAGGCCACTGCACTCCAGTCTGGGCAACAGAGTGATACGCTGTCTAAAAAAAAAAAACCCACAGACAGCCCTGGCTGGCTCTTCACTCTTACTTAGTGTCCTCTGCTCCTTCCTGAAAACAAAACTCTTCTATTGTGGTGACGAGAACCACTGGGAGAAAAGAGAAACACCTGTGTTTTAGAGAACCTGTGGTTACGGAAATAAAGAAGGAGAAAAAGCAGAGAAAAGCAAAACAATTTAGGGAAATCAGTCAAACCGCACTGCTCCTGCCTCAAACTCCAGCACACCAACCCCAGGGCCAGCCTTGCAATCAGACCCAGCCTCCAAGCCTTCACTGAAACTTGGCAATTACAGACTAAGTTAGCATATTCTTTTGAAAATATAATTGTACTGGGGAGAAAGGGGGGATTAAGGACCTACTGATCTCTTGCATAAAACTGGCCTGATATTCAATAGATTGACTAGACAGAAATGGAGAGGAAGTGAATATTTTTGTACCATGGTTACTGACTCTGTGAGGAATTGGATATCCGTGATCTGAGCAGCCCAAATCACTTAAGATAGGGATACAAGTTCTTTCCTCAGGGGACAGTTATCAGGACTGGCTGCATAATTTGTGGGGCCACAGCATAATGAAAATGCAGGGCCCCTCACTGAAAAATTATTGAGAATTTCAAGACAGCAGAAGAGAAGTAAACTAAGTATGGGGCCTTTTATTCTTGAGGCCCTGTGAACTGTATAGGCCCATGACACTGGCCCTGACAATTGTTTTTTTCACAGATAGTTGTTGCTTGCAATTGGAATAATCAGGAAATTTCAAAAGAAGTGTAATCTGAGCTTTCTTGAAAGACAGGTACATTTTCCAGTTTTCAAGGAGGAAGGATGGCATGAATCAAGACACAACAAGGAAGCAGTTCAGGCTGCATTTCCCTGACATCGGCTAGACCATGTTTACTGGCACAGAAGTTGTCATGTGGGAATAAGTCTAGAAGGATGGCTAGAGGACAGATTATGACATTGGGAGGCCATGGGAAACCATTAAAAATTATCTTAGTAATGTTTTTGGAAGATTTGGCAGTGGCATATAGGATGCTTTGGGGCAGGCTCACTCTAGAGGAAGACCAGTTAAAAGGCTCTTATGTAGTTGAAGGCATTCATTCGCCCAGTGGTTATAGCCACACTATTCTGAAAAATTTCCTCCCTTCCCTTCTCCAAGAACTTGGAACTGTTAAATAACATTTACTGGAAGCCATTGGTTTGGACTGAGCTCCTGCACTAGGCCTGAGAGACCAAACCAAAATGGAACGACTCATGCTGAAGTTTCATGCCACCAAGCCAAAACTACATTGTTTATCTGACCTTCTAAAAAATCAGGAGAGAGAGAGAGAGATAATAGCAATTTCCCAAACAGGCCAGTTTTAGCTGGCACAGTAAGGAAGTTCCTTCTGCTTGAATCTTTACAAGGAAAGTAACTTTGAAAGGACCAGTGCGCGTTTTGTTCTCTGATACTGCTTTCCTCACCCCTTTTCTGTCTGGAAAGCCAAAGTCCTCTGCTGTATAGCATATTCTATAGTGTACCATGAAGTGTTGCCTGATTCTAGAATTGCAAAGAAAAGCCAGTTAGGATCTTGAAACTAAATTTGTTGTAATTGCGTCTTTTGACAGTATCTGGTGACCACAAAGGACCCAAAGCACACTGCTGACAACTCCTGAGACCCTCTGAGGAATGAGGAGAGGCGCTGCTGACCCCTTTTGAGGTCTCCTGTCTTCCTCATGGAGCCCTGAGGGTTGTAAATTCCTCTCCTCCCAGAGCTAACTGTGCACTGAGCTGCCGCCCCCACACCCTCTACCTCCTGATCTTTTTGGCTTTCAAACCCAGGGCTAGTGTGTGCTGTGAGAACACATGACCCTGGGCTCACTACCAAGGGTTAGTTTATGCTGTGAGTGCTGGGGAAGAGAATATGACCTTTTGGGGTTTGCAGTGGCTGACAAGTCACTGGCAAGAGTGGATGTCGTGACAGAAACAGGACGGGGTCCTGTAGGGAGGCCTCGGGTGTCTGACTGGGTCTGACAGAAATTGGCAGAATTGCCATTTACTGTATGAATTTTGACTTTCAGAAATTCTTTGTAGGAATTTTGTACTCTATCCTTTTCTTTTTCTTGCACACAGATCACTGATCACTAACAGTAGCTGTGTTGACATTTAAATCATTGTGGGATTGCTTTTGTGCATGGTGATAGAAATTTATCTTCAATTTCTTAAACATAGCTAATCAGTCAATTAATCATCATTAACTGACAAAGTCACTATATCCTCTCTGATCTGCAATGCCAACTGCATCATACTACATGTATGGGTGTGTTTCTGGCTTCCAGATTCCATTCTATTGGTGTATTTCCTATCTCTATGTCAATGCCACTTTGTCTTAATTACTCTATTTTTATAATATCTTATAGTATATTGTCTATTACAACAAATAACCCCCAAATTTCAGTGGCTTAACTCAAAATTTCCCCCACTCCCAAAGATATTGGTTGGTTGGGAGGCTGGGGAGAGCCCTGCTCTGCACAGTCATTCAGGGACCCAGGCTTTTCCATTTAGTGGCTTCCCCAAAGTCTTCAGGGGCCTTCACTGGATCATCACATCAGCATCTGGCTGGCATATAGGGGAGGAGGGAAACCATTTACACCCACTTTACACTGGCCAGGTCCAAGCACTTGGCCTCATCTAAGTTTTAAGCAAGGCTGGAAGTGCAGTCTAGTTGTATGCCCAGAGGAAGAAGGAAATGGGTTTGGTAAATACACTGTCTGCCATAATCTCACACAAGGACAAAAAATTAAACATGTAACTAAATTGATCTTACAAAATTTTCTCCCAATCTTACTATTGTTTCTCTATTTCCTAGCTCTTTGATTAATTGGACATGTATTTGTGGAGAGCCCACTAGACTTTTGTGGTAGGCAGCCCCTAAGATAGCCCCCAATGATACCCTTTTCCCCCATTCATTCCCTGTAAAATCCCTTCCCCTGGAATGTGAGCTGAACTTATTGAAATGTTTTTAATGAATGGAATCGGGTTGAAGGGATGGGTGTCACTTCCAAGATTAGGTTATAAAAAGACTGTAGTTTCCATCTTGGTTGCTCTATGATTCCCTGTCTTTCTCTTTCTGATTACTAGCTACCATGTCATGAGGATATCCGGGCAGCCATTGGAGGAGGTCCATGGCCAAGGAACTGAGGTCAGCCTGCAAAAACATGACTAAGTTTGGATCCTACTGAGATTTCTGAGGCCTGCCAACAGTCACATGACTGAGCTTGCATATAAATTCTCAAGCCCTAGTTGAGCCTTGACATAAGTGCAGCCTTGGGTGACACCTAACTGCAATCTCAAGAGAGACCTTCAGTCAGAGGCACCCAGCTAAGTCATGTCCCAGATAAATGTGCATTGTTTTAAGCTGCTGAATAGTGGAGTAATTTGTTTGGTGGCACTAGATCATCAATATACCTTTGTGTTAAATACTGGGGACAAAAGAGTTAACAAGGCGCATTTTGCTTAAGGAATCACCATGTTCTACCCCCAAGCATGAAATCTTAGGATCACCTTTGACTCCGACTTTTTAAAACATGAGTTCCCTGTGGAGTCACAAAGTTTGTAGTCTAGTGACCTCCATTATCTCTAACTTCCACATTTGAAGGTAGCCCACACTGACTCCCTATCTTATCTTTGTACATTTTCTTTTACCTTCCTAATCATCTTACACTGCATTTGTAGCAATTAGCCTCTACTCCAATAATGCTTTTTTATTTTTTAAGCAACTATAATATATTGAATAATTTGTACAGCAATACACTATCATATCTTCTGGATGGCAGAGTGGGGTGATCCCTAATTGTGGCTCTAGCATAGACTGCACTAATGACTCTTAAGTCTGAAAACCTCTTAAGGAGCCCAGGAGAGCCATCTCTGGAGGTGACACAAATGCAAACTGATTTTCATCAAGCCACTCTTTAGGCTCAAGCATTTTGACTCCTCATGACTCCAAGAAAACTGTACTTTTCTTTTTTTGTGAGTTGGTGTTAGTTGCATCTTTACTCACTTCAAGGAAGGTGAGTTGTTTGTTCCATAAATAAGGAGTGAGGAAACACAGGCATCAATAAAAGGTGATTCAAGGAAAAAAAATGGTATCAAACTATAGTTTTTGTTTTTTGTTTTTTGTTTTGGTGACAGGGTCTCGCTGAAGTGCAGTGATGCTATCGTAGTTAACTGTAGCCTCGAATTCCTGGGCTCGAGTGATTCTCCCACCTTAGCCTCCTGAGTAGCTGGGACTACAGGTGCATACCACCACACCTGGATAATTTTTTTATTTTTTATTTAGAAATGGAAGCTCACTATGTTGCCTAGGCTGGTCTTTAACTCCTGGGCTCAAGTGATCCTCCAGTCTTGGCCTCCCAAAGTCCTGGGACTCCAGGCATGAGCCACTACACCCAGCCAAACTACAGTTTTAAATGAGCTTTGCCAGAGAGAGATTGCATCAATTACTATTCAGCAGGAATTTACAAAATTCCTTCTGTATGTCAGACAGAAAAAAAAAAAACCCAACATCAAGGGTTCCGTTCCTGAAGATTTCATAAGTCAGTGGAGAAAGGAAGAATAAGCAAATGGTTACAATGCAATAACCGAAGAGTTAAGGGAACAGTTATCAGTTAGATTGATTAGAATGACTTCGCTTGCAAGTAGCCTGGGCAGATTTTATAGTTAATTGATTCCACAGCTCAACAGTATCATCAAAGACCTTGGAATTTTTTCCCAACAGCTTTATTAGGGAGTAATTTATAATACAATTCAGTGATTTTAAGTGTTTAATTCATTGAGTTTTGAAATATATAGAGACAGCTTACCACCCCCACAGTGGAGATACAAAACATCCAAGCAAGTTTCCTTGCATCCACTTGTAATCAATTTTCTATCACCAACCCTTGTCCCAAACAACCCACTTTCTGTCATTATATTTTTGTCTTTTATGATATAATGCCATATAAATTAAACCATACTGTATGTAGTATTTTGTGGCAGGCTTCTTTTACTTAGCATGATATTTAAAAAAATTCATTCATGCAGTTGTATATATCAGTGGTCATTCTTATTTATTGCCAAGTAGTATTTTGTTCAATGGATATGCCACAATTTGTTTATTCATTTACTCCTCGATAGACATTTGGGCTGTTTCCAGTTAAGGGTTATAGTGAATAATGTTACTATGAACATTGCATACCAGTGTTTTTGTAGACATGTGTTTTTATTTCTCTTGAGTATGGACCTAGAAATGAAATTGAGTGATCATATGATAAGAGGATGTTTAACTATATAATAACATGACATACTGTTCCAAAATGGCAGTACCATTTTCCATTCCCAATTCCCAACAGAAACATGTGAGATTTCTAGTTGCTCCACATCTTCACCAGCACATGATACTGTCAGTCTTTTTAGTTTTTGTCATTCTAGTGTGCATGCAGTTGTATCTCATCGTTTTCATGTGCATTTCCCTGGCAACAAACAATGTTGAGCATCATATAATATAGCATCTTTTGTGAAGTATCTGTTCAAATCCTTTGCCCATTTTAAAATTAGGTTTTTTGTCTTATTATTTAGAAGCAAAATTCTTAATCTGTTTTAGATATGTTCTTTATCAGATATTTGTTTTATAAATATTTTCCCCAAGTTCCTTTTTATGTATTTCTTGGCTTTTTATTTTTAATGGTATCTTTCGAAAACCAAAATAAGTCCAACTTATCATTTTTTTCTTTTACAGTTTATGCTCTAAGAAATCTTTGCCTATCATGAGATCATGAAGATTTTCTCATTTGTTTTATGGCTTTAGCTCTTACATTTAGGTCCATGAACCATTTTGAGCTAATTTCTGTGTATGATGTGAGCTAAAGGTTGGGGTTCATTGTTTTAAGTATGCAAACATCCAGTTGCTAAGACACCATTTGTTGAAAGGATTGTCTTTTCCCCCGTTGAAATGCCTGGACAACTTTGTTGAGCATTGATATGAGGTCTGTTTCAGGGCTCTCTATCCTGTTCTGTCAGTCTGTATGTCTAATCTTCTGCCAGCACTGCATTATCTTGAACATTTTTGGTTAATATTAAGTTACCTGATAGAGTCAAAGGCCTAAGCTTTCTTTTTAATGGGAAGACTTTTTGTTACAAATTCAATTTCTTTGGTTGATAGAGATTTATTTGCATCCTTTTTTACTTTGAGTCAGTTTTGGTAAAATGTGCCTTTCAAGGAATTTTTCATTTTATCTAAATTACCAAATTAATTAACATTATGCTGTTAATAATATTCCCCTATTATCCTTTTAATGTCTATAAAATCATTAGCGATGTCCTCTCTTTTATTCCAATTACTGTTGACATGTGTATTCTCTGATGTTTTCTGGGCATTAGGTGCTGCTGGTGGCTGCATCCTGCAGGAGTTGTGCTCTAGAGAAGATAAGAGCCCTGCAGAAGCCTGGTGCTGGGCACACTGCCCACACATCAGGAGTTCACTTCTGGGGAAGCCATGCACATCGTGAGCATACCAGAACAGAAGGAAAAACTCCTTGCTCTTCCAGGTGCCCTCTACTGACATAGCTTAATATCAAGCTATATGGCAAAGAAAACATGTTTAATGGGCTCAGATCCATTTTCACAGAGCTGGCAAAAAGGGTGAATTTGGAGCTGAGAGGCAAAAACATCATAAACAGACATACAGTGGTTTGTTAGGCAACAAAAGCTAACTGATGGAGATGTATATTAGACCTTTGAGTTTATCTTCTAAGTCTTTTAACCTGTTTACATTTTCCCCATCTCTTTATCTTTCTATGTTGTACTCTGGGATATTTCTTAAAGATCCAAGTCTTTCCTCAGTAAGTCCAATCTGTTGTTAACCTAGCAATTGAATTTTAAATTTCAAAAAATATATATTTTTATTTCTATAGGAGCTATATGGATCTTGTTATATAGTCCTATTTTTAAATGATGATATCTTTTAAAAATATAATTTTAAAGACTTATTTTACCAGCCATTTCCAGTTCTATTGTAATCTCAAGTTCTTGCTAATCTTTCTGTTTATTGTGTCTGTGGTGAATTGTTTCTTCCTGCAGTTTATAGTTTTTGTTTATGAGCTCATTTCTTTAGGATTTTTTTTTTCCTGAGAAAATCACTTGTATTTTCAACTAAGAAAATATCTTTGGGAAGTATCTTATATTTTATTCTGCCAGGTAACCAGAGATTTCACCAGTGTGAGACTAATTTTCATATTAAAATTTTAGCTTGTAAATTTTCACACAATGAAGGCACTGTAAATTTTGACTCCACACCTCTGCATAATGCAGGTTTGGAACTTCAGTATTTCACTGGGAATCTTTTTCCTTCCAGGACCCTGGCTAGGGTACACTTTATTGTTGTTTTCTTGGGAGAATATAGTTTTTTTTGGTCCCTCTTTCATTGAAAGGATAGCTTCTCCAGAGTCTTAGTTTATTTGGGGGTCTTAGTTCCAGCTCTTTGCCTCATGTGGGCCCAGGATGACACCTCCTGCCTTTACTTGAGTATTAAAATCCCTCCCCTAGCCTTTGGGGCCTAAATGCAAATCCAATTCCTGACCTCATCCCAATATCTGAGACCTCAAGTTATAAATTTACTACTCATTCTGACATTAAGTTCCTTCTTTGTTTCTGGTATCTAAGCTTTTGAGCTCAGCTATGCATTTTAAATAATTTTGCTATATTTTACATAGTGTTTCTATGTGTTTGTGGGGAGATGTGATAAAGAGAGAGTAGGGTCTGCATTAGCTAAGTATGCCATGTTTCTGGGACCTGAGTTTTAGATCTTTCATCATTTTAGGATTTACAATTGAATATTTTAAGTGACAGAGAAACATGATCAAATTTATTTTATAATATTCTGGTAGATCTAATAATGTAGAAGAAAGTGACTCATGACTTGGGGATCAGTTAGAATGCAATTGCAACAGCCACATTTTTCAAATGTTGAGGAAGTGAAGGGTCTCCCTTCTCCCTGCCCCACTCAAATAGAGTCCTTGTCCTATAACTGTGCAGGAAGAGTGTGAACTGTCATGGTCAAGGGAGGCTTAAGGAGGAGACGACAGCTGCTCCTATCTTTGAAGGATGGAGGGAAATTACTTACATTGTGTGAAGAGGAAAGAGCCTTCCTTTAGGTTGGAAAGGCACAGGGTGAAGCCAAGAAAGGGTAGTGGTAGGAATGCAGGTAGCTCATTAAAGGACTGGGGAGGAAGGCAGCTGGGCCAGAGTGGAGGGGCCGAGCAGCGGCCAGTGGAAGGCAGTTGGAATAATCAGCTGGAACCATCTTGGGAAGGGTATTTAATCTTCCTACAGGTATTCTCACTGTTGGTGATTAGTAATCACATTTTTGCAAGCACTGTACTGGGCTTTTCCAGGGCTGAAGCCAAATATATATATATAGTTTAGATTGACATAGAAAGGAAGTTGGGTCCAAAAATGCAGTTGTCCCAGTTTTCAGATCATCCAAATGTTGTGTTGCCATGACAACTGCATTTAAATTTCAGAAACACAAAGTAAATGTTTGGCAGGTGATTTAAATCATCTGCTTCTGACTACATCAAAACAAACAAACAGTTGGTTTGCATGCTACCAGCTGCCATTTTTTACTTGATTTTAAGATTATTTGGTAGACGGTAGGATACAGATGGACGTTTGATTTGCTTTATATTTTTTAAATGAGATTCATTTTAGAGTTGTAGACCATGTGGGTATTTAGAGGGAAACGTTAGGATGCTTCCTTTATTTTTTCCACTAAATGTTGCAAAGCCAAAATTATATCCATGGAATAATGTTTCACAAATGTGCTTCTCCCCACAATGATCAAATATTTTGGAGGGTTTGAGTAACTGTCACATCTGTTGAAGATAGGCAACTCAGTAACCTATGGCACATGCAGAAATGGAGGAAAAGAAATAAGGAGATGATGGCTTTACCAACTGGAGCAGAATAAGAAGCCAAGGAAAAGAAATGCCTTCTATTTTTTCTTTTTAAAATGATGAGAATTTATAGAGTAGCTCAATTTTAGGCTAACACTGTTTCAGCTGTTTATCCTTTCTTGTTAAGAGTCTGATGAAAGATATAACCGTACTTTTATTAATTTTTGTGTATGGAATTCCAATAAAACATTCAAATAATAACTTTCAACTCACAGACTACAGTGGGCTGAGTGCCTATTACTACGACAGGCACTTACTTCATACCCAGCCTGTGGCCGGGAAAAATTGATGCATGTGTGAAGCTACAATAGATAGCCCTGATCTTACACATCTGGGTACACTCAGCACCTGACCTAGTGCCTGACAGAGGATAGGCACTCAACAAAGCTTTGCTGAATGGTTGAATATACATGTAAAAGAATACAGAAGAAGGTATGATAGACTAACACAAACTTATATTTAGATAATAGAGTATACAATGGGGGCTGTAGACAGGCAAATTGAGTGAAAATATTATCCAGAAAAACATTTTGAGCAAAATGGAGTGAATCTAAGTTTTATTTCACCTCCTCAGGTGGGAAAGGTCGATTTATTTAAACTTCTATAGTTTCCAACTTTTTATTTGTGTCCTGTGTTCTGTCCTCATTTGTGGTGGACCATGATGGACCTGGCAGCTCCATTGATCACAGCACATTCATCAGTTGGGTCCAGAGTCCCCTACATCTGGAAGTTGGAGCAGACCCTCTCCACACTCTGGGAGCCCACATGGAGGCAGGTAATTGGCAAGGCTAAGGGCAGCAGTGTGTGGGTGGTTTCTTAGAAAGTCAAGCCAGGAGGCATGTGAAGGATGGTCAGCGATGGTAGAGAAGGCAGCTGGGAAGAAAGAGCAACCAGGAGGTTCAGGTAAGAGTCCAGGTGAGAGACGATGAGAACCTGGGTCAGGATGGCGGCCCCAGGGATAGAGGGGAGAGACACGGGAGATGGAGCGATTGGTGACTGCTGGGACACCAATGAGTCAGAGGGAGGGTCAGGATGAAGGCCAGCTCCTAGCTTGGTTGATGAGTGGCTTGTGATGCAGTCCCCCAACCTAGCCAAGGCCAGAAGTGGAAAGCACTGGGTGGGGATGGGGAGCTACCACTTCATCCAGTCATAAAACCATGCTTACATGACTCGTGCCTCCAAATCTCACCAAGGCCTTCCTGCTGAACTTACAAGTCCTTCGTAAAGAAAAATTATTTTTTTTGGTTATCTGTAAATGTAATTGTGCCAAATGTTTATCTTTTTAAAAAGCTGTGTAGCACCTGGCTCCCTCCCTGCTTCTGGGGCACCCCCCTCATGGGTGGTATTGGTGGAGCCCCGAGCACTGCTCCTCCCTACCGCAGTAAAGGCGGGCTCCTCCCTCCCTCCACGCTCCAGCTCACATCCTGGATTCAACCAACTGGATGCTGGGGTGATTATGTTATGTGTCAACTTGGCTAGGCCATGGTACTCAGATGTTTGGTTAAGTGCTAGTCTAGAAATTACTGTGAAGGTATTTTTTTAAATGAGATTAACATTTAAATCAGTAAACTTTAAGTAGAGCAGATAAAGTGTGGGTGGGCCTCATCCTATCAGTTGAAAACCTTAAGGGAAAGACTGATGTTCCCCTAAGCAGAGGGAATTCTGCCAACAGACGACTTTCAGACTCCAACAACATCTCTTCCCTGGGTCTCCATCCTGTTGGCCTACTTCCTCTCTCTCTTTCTACTACTGATTGCCTGTGTTTATAGGGAAAACCCTAATACAGATACACTCACCAAGTCCTTGAAACCAGCTAGAGGAATGCATAGGAGGAGAGAGGATGCATTCCCAGTAGTTTCAGCAGAGTAAAGGGCCAGCACTGAATACTTTTGTGAGAACATTTTGGGTGGGAGTACTAAGAATCAATTTGCCCCATTCATAAGTAAAACCAGGACATAAAAACCATAAACAAGCTGCTTTCATTACTATCATCACAGGCAAGTCCCTTAGGCCTCTCCTTGATTCAGTAAACTCTCAACAGCCTTCTAATACATTCTTTCATTTTTAAAAAAGCTTAAACAGTCAGAGTTAGGCTGGGCGTGGTGGATCACGCCTGTAATATGAGCACTTTGGGAGGCCAAGGGGTGGATCACTTGATGTCAGGAGTTTAAGACCAGCCTGGCCAACATGGTGAAACCCCATCTCTACTAAAAATACAAAAATTAGCCGGGCATGGTGGTGTATACCTGTAGTCACAGCTACTCTGAGTAGCTGAGGCAGGAGAATGGCTTGAACCTAGGAGGCAGAGATTGCAGCGAGCCAAGATCATGCCACTGTACTCCAGCCTGGGTGACAGAGTGAGACTCTATCTCAAAAAAAAAAAAAAAAAAAAAGTCAGAATTAGTTTCTATTGCTTGCAGTAATGAGCCCTGTACAGTAATACATGTTCATTGTTGACAAATTGCAAACCCCAGAAAAGGACAAAGAAACAGAAGAAATTCACATACAAGCAAAATGCAACTAATTTAAACACTTTTCCATACAGACTCTTCGATACATGTTTTAAATAATTGCATTCATATGTGTATGGTGTTGTATCCTACTTGTCATTAACCACTGATAATTCTAGTGATGCTCTTGGTCCTGTTTCAGTCGCCTTGATGTATGCTTCCTGCTCATTATGCGTCTTTGTTATTTTCTTGGTTTGCATCTCTTGTCATGTGGGATATATGGTATCTTTTATTTGCTTTCATCTCCTATAGTAATTTTGATGTAGGCATTCTGTTTTAAGACTATGTGAGGTTACATTTAGGTTTATGAGCTACATGCTTAAATCAATTTCTCTCATTATTAAAGTTAAGAACAACTTTTCCCTTAGGTACAGAACCCTCTTTCCCTTCACACGCTCTCTTTTTTGTTTGTTATTTCTAAAATATGTGAAGTATTTCCTCATATAGATCTTTTTCAAGAGTTTTATTTCTGTATCAGTTTTGAAACCATATTGGAAAGAATTATGTGTATGTTCAATTGGCTTCAATACTTACAGCATGACATTCCTATTTGAGTGATGTTTTCAGGAATGTATAGGATGGCATATTTTTTGAGCCCTTGCCTATTTAAGACCATCCTTGCTACATGCACACACGAAAGACAAGTTAGTCGGCTCAGAGAAGTGTTGTCAAGCTATTAAAGGGGCCTTCTAATTGAGTTGAGTCAGAAACTACCTTCTCTCCAGCCATCCATTACTGTGCTGGTTCAGGGACCAGGGACGTATGGTTCACAAGGGTAATTTTCAACCCAACCTCCTCCACCCCAAAGCAGTGAAAATTTCCCTATATTCTGGAACATGGCTTTCTCCCCTCTCTAATGTCCAGGGGTGTTGCAAGTTCATCGAGTTTTGTGTACACTCACAGGTATTCTACTGGAAAGTTCGGGGGGGCCCACCAAGCAAGATCCGGAGTCTGCTGCCATATTAACCCCTAAATGCTGGCACTATTTTGTCAGCTTTTCTTAGCCCTGTTTTCAGTAGGTATTTTAGATCCTTTTCATCTGTATTAGTCAAACTACTTTGGTTGCAGATAACTTAAAGTAACTTGAATTCGCACAAACACAAAAAGGAACTATCCTATAATAATACAGGAAAGTTTCTTGGAACCCAAGGTTAAAAATGTTATTACTGGGTCTCAATGGGGAAGTGGAAAGTTCTTAGGACTCTGTTTCTTATTTCTGTTTTGCCCTGTAGTGCTTTATAAAGATTAACAGAAATAGCTGACATCTACTGAGTGCTTAGTCTATGCCATAACAACCCTCAGAGAAGGGGATTTTAAAGCATCACCTCCATCCTACACACGAGGAAAGTCAGACACAGAGAAATCAAGTTGCCCCATTGTCACCTCATTAGGAAGCTGCTGGCATAAGATTTGGACCTCAGCAGCCTGGTCCCAGAGGTGACACCCTGAAGCTGTTCCATACACAGATGGGTCCAGATTGGACACCTCTCAGAGTTGCCCCTCTACAGCCTCCAGCATCTGTTTGAACACCTTCAATAGCAGCTGCGGAGGGCAGAGGGGAAGATGAGGATCCCACTGGGGGCAGCCTTAAGTAAACAAATCATTCCCTATCTTAGTCTATGCCATAAGAACCCTCAGATATCTGAAGAACATCTTGAATGAACATCCGCCTCTCTGAGAATATTCCCATTGGCCAAGTTTCTGTCCCCTGGGGCCACCCTGAGCCCATCCAAACCTCAGTGTGCTCAACTGCCTTTGAGGTATTTGAGGACTGAATATTGTGGATGCTCTGGGCTTGGCAACCTCAATTCCCTCAACTCTTCCCGCAGGGATCTTTTAAAAAGTGTCCCATCATGTTGCTTCCTGTCTTCACAACATGCCTCGGATGGTAGAAGCCACCTTTGACATGACAAGCAGTTCTTTCTGTCAGAGCACGCGTTCTCATCAGACACAACAGCCACCTTCTTCTCACAATGGATATTTTGTGGGTTTTTTTTTTTTTAAGTTTTTTTGAGACAGGGTCTCACTCTGTTTCCCAGGCTGGAGTACAGTGGTGAGATCATGGCTCACTGCAGCCTTTACCTCCCTGGCCAGGGGATCCTCCCACCTCAGCCCCCTGAGTAGCTGGGACTACAGGTGCACGCCACCATGCCTAGCTAATTTTTGTATTTTTTGTAGAGACAGGGTTTCACCATGTTGCCCAGGCTGGTCTCAAACTCCTGGGCTCAAGAGAGCCTCCTGCCTCAGCCTCCCACAGTGCTGGGATTACAGGCACAAACTACCATGCCTGGCACACAGTGGATATTTTGTAATGTCCCCTCTATGTATAGAAATAAAAGCTACCCACACACATAATTTTAAAGCACACATAATGTCCCAATTATAAAATTAAGGAGGGATAAAAGAGAAGTAATTATGAAAAAATATGTAACATATAAATGCTCACGCACAGCTACTTTGGAAAACATATGAAACAATGTTTGCACCTGCTTATAATGTTTGGTTTCACAAGAAGTGAAGAAGATCAGAAGCCCGTCTGTAGAAACAGTATAGAAAATGAAAGAGTAAAGGGAGGTGTATGCACTAGGGTAAATAACAGGCCAAAATTATGTCTATATGATGCAAGAAAGAGAAGATAACCTCACCTGAAGTCATACGCCCAAAGAAAGGTAGACTGTCGGAAGTGGGCAAGTGTGAGATCCTCACAGGTGAACTCAGAGCTCACCTCCAAGTGTAGTGTCAAAATAATTTCTTGCCTTTTGACATGGGACAGTGTTGTGACTGAGAATGGCCAAGATCATAGCTCCTAGATGGAGCTCCTTAATTCACACTACAGAAAGCTTTGGAGACGTGGGCTTCCATGGTCAATGGAGCAGACAGAATGGACTGGAAAGAGACAGAGTGAAATAGGGGCTGGGAGGCTGTGGTAGACCTCTGGAAACAGCATCTGAGTAAGACTGAGAGACTGTAGGCAAGTAAGGAATGAGTCACCACAGTATGCAGTTTCACAATGTATTTCTTACCATTAGGTAACAAAAGTAATATACATTTAATAGCTATCATAAAATATTTTATTTATTTTGAGACAGGGTCCCATTCTGCCATCCAGGCTGGAGTGCAGTGATGCAGTCACAGCTCCCTGCAGTCTTGACCTCCTGGGCTCAGCCAGTCCTCTCACCTCAACCTCCCAAGTAGCTGGGACTACAGGCACGTGCCACCATGCTCAGCTGATTATTTTATTTTATCTTATTATTATTATTTTTTTTGGCAGAGACAGTTTTGCCGTGTTGCCCAGATTGGTCTCAAACTCCTGGGCTCAAGCAATCCACCTGCCGCAGCCTCCCAGGGTTGGGATTACAGGTGTGAGCCACTGCACTCAGCCTACAAAACATTTTAAAATAATTCTTTTAAAGTATTTCATGTGTCTTTGCTAATTTCATAATTTTTTGGTTGTCAGTTAAGATGAGACTCAAAGCAACTCTGTCACATGGTTGCTTACAAAAGTCCCAAAGGCAGAGTGATAGAGGTAGGTGTTTGGCTACTCAAATACCATGGACAACATTGCTATAGGTGATCTTATTTTTCCCAAATAGTGAGCAGCTTCTTAGTAGAGTTTTAAACAGATGAAGTACAAACTGCTCTCAATTTACATGGTAGTTGCATTCCTGGAAAATTCAGCAAATGTGAAAACTGTGAAAAAATGTTTTGTATTTCTATGTAAAATGGAGTTCTTAGGTGGAGATATTTAGGAAAAGTTTTCCCCCTCATGAATGCCTGTGGGATGCTTGAAAACCATGGAGACTTGGGACAATTCTTTATCTCATGGGCTGTCCACATTATAGCAGTGATATGGTTTGACTATGTCTCCACCCAAATCTCAACTTGAATTGGATCTCCCAGAATTCCCCAGTGTTGTGGGAGGGACCCAGGGGGAGGTAATTGAATCATGGGGGCCGGGTCTTTCCCATGCTATTCTTGTGATAGTGAATAAGTCTCATAAGATCTGATGGGTTTATCAGGGGCTTTTGCTTTTGCTTCTTCCTCATTTTCTCTTGCCACCACCATGTAAGAAGTATCTTTTGCCTCCTGCCATGATTCTGAGACCTCCCCAGACATGTAGAACTGTAAGTCCAATTAAACGTCTTTTTCTTCCCAGTCTCGGGTATGTCTTTATCAGCAGTGTGAAAACGGACTAATACAAGCAGTCTAGGCTCTCTTATAGTATCTCTAGCCCCCACCTACTAAATTCCAGTAGTGCCCTCCTTCTCCGGTAATAGTGACAATAGAAAAGTGTCCCCACAAAGTTGCAAATAGCCCTCAAGGCTGATCTTGCCCCAAGGAGACCCACTGGGTGAGAGTAATTGATTTAATCCTCTTCGCTAGGATTCAGGTAAGTGTGCATGTACACATACCTCTCCACACACACATGCAATTCGAGTTCAGAGAATTACATGGTTTGGCTCTGTGTCCCCACCCAAATTTCATCTCGAATTGTAATCCCCGTGTGTCAGGGGAGGACCCGGTGAGAGGTGATTGGATCATTGGGGGTCGTCTCCCCCAGGCTGTTCTCATGATAGTGAGTGAGTTTTCAAGAGAGCTGATGGTTTTAAAGTGTGGCACTTCCTCGTTCTTGCACACCCTCCCTCCTGCTGCCTTGTGAAGAAGGTGCCTGCTTCCCCTTCCCCTTCCACCATGACTGTAAGTTTCCTGAGGCCTCCTAGCCATGGTTTCTCTTAAGCCTGTGGAACTGTGAGTCAATTAAACCTCTTTTGTTCATAATTACCCAGTCTCAGGTAGTATTCTTTATAGCAGCGTGAGAACTGACTAATACAGAGAACCAACTAGTTCTGAATGTATTTCCCGAGCAACCATTTTATTATCTATTTTTCATATATGATTTTCCTAGCTTTAAAAACATTATTGTAAAATACATACAACATACATTTATCATTTTAAGTGTACAATTGAGTGGCATTAAGTGCATTCACATTGTTGTGCAACCATCACCACCATCCATCCCTGGCTTTTTAATATTTGAAATGCATTCAAGCTTAGAGAAAGGTTGTAGAAATAAGCCACTTAAGAGTAAATTGCTGCTATGATATCCTATCACCCCTAAATACTTTTGTGTGAAATTCCCTAAGAACAAAGACATTCTCCTAAATAACCACAGTACAGCCCTCGCAATCAGGAAATTAACATTGGTGAAGTACAGTCAGCTAGTCATCAGACCATGTTCAAATGTCACCAATTATCCCAATAATGTCCTTTATTAAAAAGGATCCAGCCTAGGGTCGAGCATTACATTTCTTCTCATTCCTCTTTGATCTTCATCAATCTAGAACAGTTCATCAGTTTATTCTTGACTTTCAGGATCTTGACATTTTCAAAGGTTACAAACCAGTTACTTTCTAGAATGTTGCTCAGTTTGGGTTTGACTGGTGTTTCCTCATGATTAGATTCAGGTTATGCTTTTTTGCAGGAATATCACAGAAATCATGGTGAGTTCGTCTCATTGCGCCCTCACAGGGGGTATAAAATTTCCATTTATTTCATTACAGATGATATTAACTTTGATCACTTGATTAGAGTGTTGTCTTCTAGGTTTTCTCCCCTTTTTTCTTTTGATGCTAGTAAGACTCTGGTAAGGAGGTACTTTGAAACCATGAAAATATTC